>NC_000023.11:20622336-20925366 GCF_000001405.40 Homo sapiens | reverse complement strand
CCACAAATAATCTATATATTATCCATATAGATTTGCTTTAAATCTTGACAAGATTACATTACTTATCAATGAAATACCATTTAAGCACCATCAGGTAAATATCTCTAGTCACCATCTTAAGGTTCAGCACAACCCAAGAAGGAATCCGACTAGAAAGCTCATTCCCACATTGGGAAAAGAAGATTATCTGGTGCTCCATGTAAATCAAGACCCAGTAATTACTGGTCAACAAATTATGTGGAGTAAGATAAACTGGTATAGCTATACTGATATCAGACAAAGTAAACTTCTTACAGACACACTAGGCTACAAGTAGTACCAGGGATAAAGGAGACATTTTATGATAAGAAAAAAAATTCATATATTGACAAGGCATAATAATCCTAAAGGTGTATCCATCTAATAATAGAGCCTCACTGTATACAAAACAAAAACTTGCAGAACTAAAAGGAAGAACAGAAAAAACCATAAATGGAGTTGGAAATTTGAACGCACCTCTTTCAGTAATTGCCAGCATAACTAGAAAAAAAGAAATCAATAGGAATACAAAAGATCTGAGCAACAATATCAGTTAACTTAGTGTCTTAGTCCATTCAGGCTGCTATGACAAAATACATGAAACTGGGTAATTTATAAACAACAAAAATATATTGCTCACAGTTCTAGAGGCTGGACATTCTAAGACCAAGGTGTCAGTGGATGTGGTATCTGGTGAGAGCAGCTTCATAGACAGCACATCTTGCTGTGTCCTCATATGGCAGAAGGGCAGAAAAGCTAACACACTTCTTCAAGCCTCTTTTATAAGGGCACTAATCCCATTCATAAGGGCTCTGCCCTGATGACCTAATCACCTCCCAAAGGTCTCACCTTCTAACACCATCTCCTTAGTAATTAAGTTTCAATGTATGAATTTTGGGAGGGCACAACCAAAACATAACATGTAGTCTAATTGATATTTGCAGAACACTATACCTAAAAATAGCAGAATGCACACTTGAAAGATGAACAAGGATAACAAGTACAGAGATAGAATTAGTAATCACAAAATTACCTACAAAAAATAGTCCAAGCCCAGATGTCAACACAGGTGAATTCTACCAATATTTAAATAAAAATGAATACCAATCCTTTTCAAGCTCCTCCAAAGAGAAGAATAGGAGAAACACATCCCAATTCAATCATTTCATGAGGCCAGTATCACTCTGATATCCAAATAAGACAAAGTCATAAAAAAGAAAACTAATTGTATATATTATTCATACAGACACAAAAATAATCAAATATTAGCAAACCTAGTCCATCAGCATGTAAAAAAAATTATATGCTATGAACAAGTGGGATTTACTCCCAGCAATGCAAGTTTGTTTTAACACTGAAAATGAATTGATATATTACACCATATCATTAGAATAAAAAACAAAAAGCACATGATCATCTCAATAGATGCAACAAAGCATTTGATAATACCTGACATCTTTTCATGGTAAAAAGAAACTTCAGCAAACCAGAATTAAAAAGAAACTTCTGCAGCCTGATAAAGGGCATCAACAAAAACATATAGATAACATCATACATAATGGTAAAAGATGGAATGATTTCCTCCTGTGATCAAGAATAATACAAAGATGTCTGTTCCCATCACTTCTATTCAACATTGTACTGGAAGTTCTAGGTAGGGAAATTAGACAAGAAAATGAAGACTGGAAAGGAAGGAGTAAAACTATCTGTTTAGCGATGATAATCTTGTATAAAGAAAATCCTAAGACATAACTAAAAAAACTATTAAGACTAATAAATGAATTCAGCAAGGTTGGAGGATATGAAATCAACATACAAATATCAATTGTATTTTTATACACTGGCAATATACAATTAAAAATGGAAATAAAGTAATTTCATTTAGCAAGGCTAAGCAAAAAGAACAAATATGGAGGCACCACATTATCTGACTTCAAACTATACTACAAGGATGTAGTTACCAAAACAACATGGTACTGGTATAAAAATAGGCACATAGACCAATGGAACAGAATAGAGAACTCAAAAATAAAGGCAAATACTTAGAGCCAACTGATCTTCAACAAAGCCAACAAAAGCATAAAGTTGGGAAAGGACACCCTATTCTACAAATGATGCTGGGATAATTGGCAAGCCACATGTAGAAGAATGAAATTGGATCCTCATCTCTCACCTTATACAAAAATCAACTGAAGATGGAACAAAGACTTAAATCTAAGATCTAAAACCATGAAAATTCTAGACGATAACATTGGAAAAACTCTTCTAGACATTGGTTTAGGCAAAGAGTTCATGATCAAGAACCCAAAAGCAAATGCAACAAAAACAAAGATAAATAGACTGGACATAATTAAACTAAAAAGCTTCTGCACAGTAAAAGAAATAATCAGCAGAGTAAACAGATAACCCACAGAGTGGGAGAAAATATTCACAAACTATGCAACCAACAAAGGACTAATATCCAGAATCTACAAAGAATTCCAGCAAATCAGCAAGAAAAAAAACAAATAATCCTATCAAAAAGTGGGCAAAGGACATGAATAGACAATTCTCAAAAGAAGATATGCAAACAGCCAACAAACGTGAAAAAATACTGAACATCACTCATTATCAGGGAAATGCAAATCAAAACCACAATAAGATACCACTTCACTCCTGCAAGAATACCCATAATTTAAAAAAATAAAAAAAAACAGATGTTGGCATAGATGTGGTGAAAATGGAATACTTCTACACTGTTGGTGGAAATGTAAACTAGTACAAACACTATAGGAAACAGTATGGAGATTCCCTAAATAACTGAAAATAGAACTACCATGATCCAGCAATCCCACTACTGTGTGTCTACCTAGAGGAAAAGAAGTCATTATTTGAAAAATACACTTGCACACACATGTTTATAGCAGCACAAGTAGCAGTTGCAAAAATATGGAACCAGCCTAAATGCCAATCAACCAATGAATGGATAAAGAAAATGTGACACACACACATACATACATGTAATATATATTATGTAAATATATAATGTATATATATTATGTAATATATATTATGTATATAATGTAATATGTATTATGTATCTATATTATGTAATATATATATTATGTGTATATATATATATACACACACACACACACATACCATAGAATACTACTCAACCATAAAAGGGAATGAAATAATGGCATTTGAAGCAACCTGAATGGAGTTGGAGACCATTATTCTAAGTGAAGTAACTCAGGAATGAAAAACCAAACATCGTATGTTCTTACTTATAAGTGGGAGCTAAACTATGAGGATGCAAAGGAATAAGAATGATATAATGAACTCTGGGGACTCAGGCATAGGGTGGAAGCGGGGCAAGGGATAAAAGACTACACATTGAGTACCCTGTACACTGCTCAGGTGATGGGTGCACCAAAATCTCAGAAATCACCACTAAATAAATTTTCCATGCAACCAAACACCTGTTCCCCCAAAACTATTGAATAAAAATAAAAATTAAAAAATATGATATCTAGATGCTTGCAGTTCATTTACAAAATGAATAAAATAGGAATAAATTTAACAAAAGAAGTACAAAACATATACTCTGAAAACTACAAAATGTTGTTGAAAGAAATTAAAGAAGATATAAGCAAATGGAAAGACATTCCACATTCATGGGTCAGAAAATTTAGTATCTTTTAGGTTGGTAATGCTTCCCAAATTGGTCTACAGATTCAATGAAATTCCTATCAGAATTCCAGTTGGCTTCTTTGTAGAAATTGACAAGTTGATCCAAAATTTTATATGGAGGAACATCCATACTGTTCTCCATAGTGGTTGTACTAATCTGCATTCCCACCAACAGTCCCCATTCTCCACATTCTCACCAGCATTTCTTATTGCCTGTCTTTTGGATCAAAGCCATTTTAACTGGGGTGAGATGATGTCTCATTGTAGTTTTGATTTGCAGGGCACCTGTCACCTGAGGGTCTTATCATCTACTTTCAGGAGTGGTAGATCAGAAAATTCTTTTATGACCATGCTTCAGAGGAGAAAGGCAGGAGGTCAGAGTGACCTTCTTGCTTCTGCAGTTTCTCAATTGCCAAGGTGCCATATTTTGTGGTATTGTGCTCTGAGCCCCAACATGCCTGTTTTTCTAAGGACAATAGGAAGCTATTGAAGGATTCTAATCAGGACAGTAAAAAGATGATGAATACAAGTGGTAATCCATATCTTCTGTGTTTACTTCCTCCAGTATTTTGGGGAGAGGGGAGAGCTTATCTGATCTGGCTCATGAGTTGTCCACACAAAAGTTTCTTCAGTGTGTAGGTTGCTGCCCACCTCTCTGTGCTGTCTCACTCCTGCTCATTCCACTGCAGTTGTAGCTTGGACATTGGGTAGAGTCTCCTAATGGGCTACAGCTCCCCTTTGTATGGCCCCAGTGAGGGGAAAATGTGGGACAGGACACATTTTCCTCCTTTGTTTATTTATCCCAATAGTTCCACACTTTAAGGCTGAAGTTATATTAGAATTCCGTGCATGGTTGAGAATTACAGTGGAGAAGGGAAGAAAAAATCTCAAAGAACATAGCAAATATGTTCCTCCCCATAACTCAAAGGAAAAGGACTCAGTATGTATGTGGGGAAGGGTGTCCAAATTCCACACCCACGTTTTTCCAAATCTTCATTAACCTTCCAAGACATCTTTCCAGTGCACACAAGTCTTGTTCTTAGTCCTGGATATATCTGTCTGCTGCCAGCAATTACCATAAATCTGAGTTATTCAACCTAGGGTCTAGCAAGACAGTCCATAGTAGTCTTTGACATTCTACATCCTATCGAAATATCCAGGTGTGCATTGACACTGCTTTTATGTTCTAATCAGAGCTTCTTCCACCAGTATAAGTTGCAGCTAAGTCAATTTTTCTGATTGCCCAATGGTTAAGTGTTGGAACACATACTTATGTGTACACACATACACTTACTCATGGTCTTTGAGGACAAACACTATTTGGCAGAGACAATACAAACAAACCCAGTAAAAAGGAAAAGGCAATAATTCCCTAAGGTTCCATAACTTACAAGGTCACCTCTCTCACAATGGAGTTAGTACAGCAGATTATTATGCAAAGCACTGTTAGTGCCTTTCTTTTATCCCCTTCTCTCAAATTGTACCTCCTTGAGCCTGCCAAGAATAAGAAGTGACCCATTACTAAGCCATATACTTCTTAATGACCACTCTGCTAGCTACACAAAAACCTGGTTAAAGCTTGAAATTACCTCTTGAAATTTTCCAATTAGCTATTAGACAAAGGCCATCCTTCTCCCCAGCCTCTGTCCGGGGAGGAGGACTTCAGTGCTTGGGAAGTAAGGGAAGCGAGTACAGTCAGATTTGCAATTTTATCAGACTGTCCTGAGTGTCAAGTAGAAAGTACATGGGGGAAAAGTATAAGAGTACCTGCTGGGGGACTAGGAAGAGAAAAAGGCCAGACAATATGGTCTTAATTTTGCAGTCAAACAAATTGGACTGACAAAAAAAAGGAGTTCAAGAAAAATAATATTATCAAGCAACATAGATTCTGGTTTACACTATGGAAATTGCACTGAGAAGGTGATCTCTTACAAAATGTATACAGTTTTATGAATTGAAAATAGTGGATGGGCACTATTTTATAGATAGAGGGAAATATATTAAGATAAAATGGCACTCTCCACCAAAAAAATCACGAAACGGTGATAAGAGTCTAAGATCTGTGCAAGCTAATATAATCTTTTCATCGTCACTTTCCAAAGGCAGATCCCCATCAACAACAGAAAGTTCCAGAAACTTTTTGTGTGATCATAACCACTTTAAAAGCATTTGGATCAAATTGATACAATTCAAATAACTATGAGTGTTTTGTTCTAAAAATTAAATTCCACAAAAGACAATTCAGAAAACAGAGCCCACCACCGCACGCCCCTCTCGCCCCACCCCCAACACCAACACACACACACCCCTCAGATACTCGTCCTAAGAAAAGAGTTTTCAACTTTCCTGACACTAAATTTGGGCAGAGGTGTCAAGTCATTATAATTACTACAAGCTGGCTTGCTAAAATAGCATTTCAGCAGCCTGCCACTGGCATATAATCAACGGCACACCCACTGCTGGACTTGATATACAACTGTGGCACCAAAAAATGTACCTGTTGATGCCAAGTATTGCAATGCAACAAATTAACCTTTGACCAGAAAATTATTTTTCCACTTTCTGGATGTCTAAGTCAGTTAAGCATTTTTGGATCAATGCAACCATATGTCCACCTGTAACAATTGAGAAATTATTCCTTATTTGCAGAATAACCCTTCTGTCTCACAAAGGACACGTTATGTCTTAGAACTCAAAAGAGTGTGCAACTGGTTATTTCAAAGTATTTGACATGCTAAACAATTCAGAAGTGCTTACCTATTTGCATCATATTAAGATATCATATTTACATATTTAAACATTTCACACAAAGTTGGCCCAAACCAATAGTGTTTTACAAAGTAATTTCAATTTTCTCAGGATTGTCAAGATCAATACTTTTCTCTGTACCGTATATCTTTGTGGCAGTAATTAGCTTTGTAGAATTGTTGTTAGGGAAAAGTAGGTTTCCATGGAGAAGAAGAAAGATGTATGAGTTGTTATGTATGTGAAAGCAATTTCAGGAGGAAAATGGTATAGTGTGGGCAGCAGCTTTACATAGTCTAGATTTATTTCTTCACTTAGGTCCTGATGTTTCCTATTTTTCTATTTCTGGACTTTTAGCTAAAATACAAAACTATCATTATTAAATTGCTCATTATAGTGATCTTTTGTAGAAAGTTAATTTATATTCGAGGTTGCAATGTTCAGGTTTACAAGTATTCCAGTTTATTTGCAGCCTACTTCTTCCATAAAATCTCTGTGGAAATCTTACTACAGGGCAGCCTCTCAAAAATTGTGTCTCATTTTCCACCAAATAAATGTAATAATACAAATGTGCTCCCCTTAAAGGAGGCCCAGTGGAACCAAAATAAGCCACAAACAAAAATAAAAATAATGATTAAAAACATTCAATGTTTAAAAATATTTATTTATAAACAATTTGTCATGTATAAGTGTACTCTTCAATGTAAATTCAGAATAAAGGCATAATTATTAAAGTTTTATCTAGAGGTGTTAAATACATAAAATAAAAAATTAGGAAAGATAGTTCATGCTGAGGGCTTTAAATTACCATTCAGCTTTGAATATGTGCTTCAGCACATACAGGAGTTGATTTGTAAGGACTAGAGAACACATCAGCTACATCCCCACTTCATGATGGACAGATGTAAAACTAAGAATAATTTGGTATGATGTGTAACTTTTCCAAACAAGACAAGCAGCACACTTTGTTTTGTATAAGAGGTGATAAGTTATAGTGAAAGGGGCACGTGTTTTGGGATTAGAAACAAACAATTTTAGACACTAGTTCTGTGACTTCTTTGCACTCGGGGGCTCCTTTTTCTCAAGTATAGAAGAAGGATGAAGCCAGCTGACAGAGGTTGCTGTAAGAATTAAGTAAAATGTTTGTGAGAACACCTGACTCAGAGTAGATGCTCAATCTTCTCTGGTCCTTTCATCTTTAGAGACTTAATTTGTATGGGTTTTAAGTGGGGTTTACAAGATGCCTAAAGCTGTTTTCCCTTAGGAACATACCCATTTCATAGCATATATGTAGAAAACAGGAATATATTCATTTGTATAGCAATTGACTCTTAAATATTGAAATCCTCATACTTACCAAATCCATCAGTTATAAAAATCAGCAAGTATATAATATCAGTTTTACTCTTTTCTTGGCTTTAGAATGACTATAGAATGATAGTGACAACAAGATGACAGATACTTAATAAAGATGATTAAGACATGGAAAATACAGAGTCTGAAGAATGACAACCTCATTATACTTTTTCTACTATAAGAAGAGATGACAAATGGTTAACATCAGAGTTTGGTTGTCATAAAAGTATAAATTTTGATACACTTATATATACAATGTGTACTTGCTTATTTTTAAAAAGTTACAAACCAACCACACACATACACAACACAATCCATATTCCCACACTCCCAGAGATAACTACTGATATCAAGTTGTAGTTTATTATTCCAATATTTTTTTCTACACATTATACAGTATCACATATTTTCTCTTTACTTTGTTGCCATAAATTAACCACTGAGAAAGTGCCCAGTTTATTCTGAGGCCACACAAGCAGCCAAGAACCAAGCATCTCCAACTGTTCTTCTGTGACCTGTGATCAGTGACTCTTGTGAGATTGTCCCTTGTAGCAGAGAATGCTAGTTGCCCCTTAATATTCTCCTCACCTTCATTTTTTTTGGTAGTAGAACACCCAACTTTTATTTAAGCGCAAAGCCAAAGGCTCATTTCCCAGCCTCACTCGCAACTAGGTGGGACCATGTGACTAGATTCTGGCCTATAGTGTGTGAGTGTAAGTGATTTGTGCAAGCTCCAAGTTCATACTTTCAAAAGAAAAGAAGTCTATCTTTCCTTTTCCCCCTTTGCTTTTCTCACTGGCTAAAATACAGATCTGATGGTGTCTTTGCCTGTAACAAAGAGATGGAAATTTCATATTGAGGATGGCAGAACAAGATGGAAGGACACTAGGCTCTTGATCCTGGTGTCCTGTCATACCAGTATTAGACCACCTTTGATGGGCAAGAACTAAACTTCTGTCTTTTTTAAACAACTAGACTTTTGGTACATCTGCCTAATCTCTATTGTAATAAATATACCTCTCTACTAGACAGAGTTGTTCCCTACTATTAATTGCCCTTGTCTCCATAACTCTGACCTTGAGAGTGGGGCCATTGCTCATTGTGATACAACTTCACTCCTAGAGTAAATTATGAATTAAATGCCTTTGAGTTCATCCGTTTTTCCCTTGGAGTGATCAGATGGTTTGCATTGCAGTGTCTACCTTTGTCTCAGGACCGTGTGCCCCTTCAGAAGTTTATCAAGGAACATGATTTAAGGCAGAGACTTCTAGTATTGTATTATGGATCCAATCACTTCTTGTTTTCATCCCCACTTCAGTGTTTACTACCCCCTGAGGTACCTTTTTGGGGACAAGCAGCCTCTGTGGTAACTGTCTAGTCTTTGAATAGAGGGGAAAACAACCAATCAGAGCCATACTGATTCCTGTTGGTTCTTCATTTTATCAGGATCTTGGATTCCCCAATCTTACTCAGCAGTGATTGCCATTGCTGCCTTTCCTAGCCTTGGATAGCAATGGGGCTAACAGTGATCATCCCTGGGCAAATGAGGAAATACAAATCAGAATTAGAAAGCTTTCCATCAACCCTTCCCCATCTCATTTCTCATCCTCTCTTGGCACAGGAGATGCCATATTTACTGCTTTTGCTCATCACACACAGAAACCCAACTACTTTCATTTTCTCTAAAGGTTTTTCTATATATTTTGTGAATTCATGGAATGCACCTACTGTTCCAACTCTTCTGAGGCATCTCTAGGTTTGCCATGGGGGCAGGTAGCCAGCATCCCATGCTAGTTCACCATCTTATATGAAATTTGGAGTTCTTGTCCTACTTCCTGCTCACCTTTTTCATATACTCCAAGTTTACAACCTGCAATGAGCGAATGTGTCCCCCCAATATTTGTATATTGAAACCTAATCCCAATGTAAGGGTATTTGAAGGTGGAATCTTTGGAATGTTGTTAGGCCATGAAGGTGAAGACTTCATGAACGGGATTAGTGCTCTTATAAGAGGCCAAAGAGCTAACTAGCTCTTTCTGTCATGTGAAGACACAATAATAAATTGACAAAATGCAACCCAGAGGAGGACGCTCGTTGGAACCTAACAATGCTGGCACTCCGATCTTGGACTTTCAATCTCCAGATTGTTTCTAAGCCACCCAGTCTATGGTACTTTGTTATGGTGGCCTGAACTAACTAAGCCACTACCATTCTAAGTCCCATTCAGAAACCAGCAAGTCAAATTACTCTCATTTGATCCATAAACTATTTGGTTCCACTGTATTGGAGATTGGCATAGACTTTGCATACAACATAGTTAGAATTACAGACTACCCCAAGGCTAAATAAGTTTCTGCACTCCACTAGACAAGGCTCTATCAACTGCAAAATTTCTCCATCCAGCTACATGATATGGAATATGTTTTGTGGAAGAGATTTGTCTATATGTATTCATGAGTTTTTGGTTTCCATTAGTCAAAGAAAAACTCTTTCTGTCTGACTGAGTGTCTTAGTCTGTTGTGTGCTGCTATAACAGAATACCAGATACCAGGTAGTTTATAAAGAAAAGACATTTATTTCTCACAGTTCTGGGGGTAGGAAGTCCCAGATTGGGGAGCCAGCATCTGATGAAGGCCTTCTTGCTGCATAATAACATAACAGCAAGCATTACATGGGCAAGAGAGAGTTATAGAGGGGCTAAACTCAACCTTTGTAAGGACCACACCCACAATAATGAACCCATCCCCATGATAATGGCATTAATCAATTCATGCTGCAGAGCCCTCATGATCTAATTACCTCTTAAAGATCTCACCTCTCAACACTATTGCATTTGAGATTACGTTCCAATATAAGAACTCTGAGGAACACATTCAAATCGTAGCACTGGGCTTCGGGTCCAGCATACTGAAGAGTTTTTTTTTTTTTTTTAAACAATAGAACATAAAATCGTCAGCAAAAAAGCTCAGAAGTTCAAACCCATGAGAATCTGCTTTTGATATAGGCTTTCTCCCCAGGTCCTTGGTGTTTAGGACTCTTTTTTTCCTAATATAAATGGAATAAGCATTCCACAATTCTCCTGTTGAGGTGTGTACTTCAACAAGTATTTCCTGAGCACTCCCAAAGGCTCCAAAGAACTCATACTGAGGGAAGCTTTTTCTCATGTCATACTTCTACTCAGAATATAAGTCTCTGTTTTCTCTCCTCTCTTCTCACTCAAATTTAAACATTTCTCCTCATCTTACTACTTTTCCTACATCATTTTAACTGTTCATATTTCTCCCTTTCCTATTTGATCTTTTTCATATTTGGTGTACCCACTTTGGAGTAAGGGCTTGAGGATAATGCCTGCCAGCACTCAGAAGCCTCACAGAGGTCCACAGAGGCTGCTGAAGAGCCAGACCCACATCTTATCAAATTTATCTGAGACTTGAGAATGCTGAATTGTCCTCGAGGCAATGGTTTGCATTGGGTAAATTTTTCAGATTGGTATTACTAACTGCATTTTATTGATTAAAAATAAATTTAAAAACTGCAAAAAGAAAAAAAAAGAAAAACTTGTTCGGGGGCTTTAAACCAAGACTATGAGCAGGAAGGGAACTGTCCATGGTTCTGAGTGGCCCCACTGAGGGTCTAGAAAGTAAAAGAGTAGAGGTGATAGAAGCTATCTAAGCTGGTCTAACTACCTTTTGCCTCAGAGCCTTGAAAGTATTTTTAAAAGTGTACAAAAGTGAGTTTGATGACAAAGAGTACGCACAGGCATTATTGTTTGTTAGATCTCTGCCCTTTCATAGAATTTATGACCATTTAAGAAAGAAAACATTCTAAAACATTTTTTTGCTACAAACTTTTCTTCCCTTATGTTGCTTTTAAGCACGTGTATTTGAGGAGAAGTTTAAAATTCATGTCTTGAATTTGTGTCTGTGATTACACATAATTCATCAAGATCTTACTCTTCAAGAGCTATTTAATACTCAGGAAGTCATTTAAATCATTTCAGAATCTTACTAAAATCCAACAGGAAGTTGTGTTTACAAAGGACACACAAACCTGGAGCACTTGCACATTTCATTTGAATCCAAATGCAGAAACCATACATATTTTGGAATTGAAGAGAAATGTAGCCTATCTCTACTCTGTCAAGAAGAAAGGTTCAGCACACTGTCATCTAAGGTTGCATCCTGATATTCCCATCCGGATGTGATGTGTGGAATCTTATATAACATATACATCATTCATTGCTTATGGTCTTGTGTTATAATCACTTGTGTGTATATATGTGTCTTCTGTCCTTAATGGAAATCCCTGATATAAGAGGGAGAAAACTAGATATAAACTCAGATGATCGAGGCTTGAGTCCTGATTTTCCCAGCTCTGTGACCTTGAGCAAATCACCGAACATCACTGAACTTCATTTATGAATGAATATTAAACACAATGAAAGTGATTATGAACCTACACATATTCCATAAACTCCTAAATGATAGTCCCAGGTAATTGCCATGTTTTATTAAATCCACATAAGTTGTGCTTATGTATTTGTACTTATCATTTCAGCAAGTATTCTATATTTATTGTTTCAACAAGTATTTGTTAGGGTACATGACAGAAATATCATGGGAGAAGAGGACAGACACATGGTAAAAGAGGGGAGACATTTTATTGTAGCAGACATTTCTTTTTATGCCAAAGTGCAATGTCATTATCATAATAATTTTGCGCCACTACATACCCTGTTGTGACCATTTTTAAATAGAAGAAGGAAAACCCTACCAAATCCTGGAAAGCTCATTTTTATAAATGTCTCCATATTATCCATTTTAGCATATTTTATGGTAAGTTTATTCAAACTGTTGTAGTTTTCAAAGGATATACTACTTATTTTCTCCTTAAAGCATATATTGTACTATGTAATACACTATATAATGATATGAGAAATACTTTGAAACAAAATCTCAATTTTTATATTTTGCTTAAAATTTTGAGTGCCAATATATGTTAGAAATAAGTAAGTCACTTGCCTTTCTCTGCTTCTTGCAAAAGAGGAAGTAACTGTGTTTGTCACCACATGTGATCCCCCAAGAGAGTGCATTTTATCCTGGATGTTAAATTTTAAGTGGAGAAATAACAGGGTGCAGACATACTGAGAACACTGTCTTGGTAGGTGGTGTTTTTTCCCCCAGTGGGTGATAAAAATTAAATCCCCAAATTTCTCCTTCTAGAGTTTTTACTAATTAACCTGACATCTATGGTGAAGCGGAACATAGGCTCACCTTGTTCATTCCCAGTCCCACAATTAAACTGCTGGTAGTTTAGGTCAAAAGCTTTTCTCTGGAAATTTGAGAGTAAAATAATTTTAAATTGACAAAAAGTATAAAACAACTTTTAAAATATTTATATCAAAATATTCAGGAAAAGAAGGAGCTTTCATGTAGAGTAAACATTGCACTCTTAATTCACCATTATTCCCTACTTCATTTACTGTGATTGTTCTCCGCTTATGGATGACAGAACAAAGGATCCATGAAGATAGGATCATTCATGTAAAATAGTTACTGTTATAGAGTGATGAGTGGAGTAATGCTATGATTGGGATGTGAAGCAGACAGAGATGGAGGTGGGAAAATCAAGTGGGCAGAAATTTCTTGAAACATCTATGGAAGAAAAAGATTCTCTAGAAAAAGAACATTGAAAGTTTAATATAGCAAAAACATGTTTCATGCAACGAGAAAATGTTAAATTTCCCTCATTCATGGTACTATCACAAACTGCCTGTTGATGTAAGAGTGTCAGTAATAAGGAATCCAGACAGTCAAAACCATTGGGTGACCTGTGGCTTAAAAAAAGAAGGGAAATGAAAAAATTATGATGAGAGAAACAAGAGGCAGACTACCTTATGTATAAATTAGAATACAAACAAAATGAAAGTATTGAGGGGCAAAAGGACGTGGTGCATTTGCTATAAAATACTTCATAATTTTTAAAGTGGAAGAGTGAAACAAATTACTTATACATGCAATATAGATAAATCTCAAAAACATTGATAAATATCAAAAAAACAATGTTTTTGAGATTTATCTGAGTGAAAGAAGCCTTACACAAAAGAACATATACTACATGATCCATTTATATGAAGTTCTAAAGTACATAAAACTGATCTAAAGGTAAAAAGAGAAACATCGGTTTCTAAAGGTAAAAAGAGAAACATCAGTTTCTAAAGGTAAAAAAAGAAATACCAGAAAAGTGGCTGTCCCTTGCAATAGGGGTTCAAGCATGAATTGACTGGGAAGGGGCATGATTTTCTAAGGTAATGGTTATTTTCTATATTTTATAGTTTAATAGGAGTTTAGGCTACATAGGTCAAATATGCATATGTCAAAACTCATCAAACAATGCACTAAAGATTTGTGAATTTCACTGCATGTAACCTTTACCTCAAAATAAGAAAGTATAAATAAATGCACTCTAAAATTCACTAGCTGAAGTATTTGGGGGAAAAAAACTGATGTCTGCAACTTACTTAGAAATAATCAAAATATAAGTGAGATTGATGGATGGATAGGTGGAGGGATAGACAGATATGTTATAAAACAAATATAGGAAAAGGTTAATTATAGGATCTAAGTCTTGGACACATGAATGTTATTTTATAATCTTTCAACTTTTCTTTATATTAGAAAAGTTTTATAATAAAATGTTGAGAAAAAGTGGCAGGTGGGAGAGATGAAATGAAGTTGGCGAAAATGTCAATAACTGGTGCAGCAAGAAGACAATTGATGGATTCATTATACCTTTCTGTCTACTTTTCCACGTGCTTGAAATTTTCCATAATCAAAAGTTAGAAAAAGAATTTATATATATTCACATATATATACATACACATATATTAAAATGAGAACAGTTTATCCAAATTGAATATAGAGTTGTATTTAAGTCATGTAATTGTGCGTATGTATTTTCTCTCATTTTCTGTATTTTTGATAACACTATCTTGTCATAATATACGAAGAAACTGGACAAAAGTGGGCTCAGGTAGGAATCCAGGGAAATTAGATGATAGGGTTTCAAATTAAAAATACTAACTCTGGGCCGTGCGCGGTGGCTCACCCCTGTAATCCCCGCACTTTGGGAGGCCGAGGCGGGCGGATCACGAGGTCAGGAGATCGAGACCATGGTGAAACCCCGTCTCTACCAAAAATACAAAAAAATTAGCTGGGCACAGTGGCGGGCGCCTGTAGTCCCAGCTACTCGGGAGGCTGAGGCAGGAGAATGGCGTGAACCCGGGAGGAGGAGCTTGCAGTGAGCTGAGATCGCGCCACTGCACTCCAGCCTGGGCGACAAAGCGAGACTCCATCTTTAAAGAAAAAAAAAAATACTAACTCTGAAAAAAAAGATCATCATTTTCCTAAGTCACTTCTCTTCACCCCAGTTCAATTCAACAGTGTATCCTTATCCTTACCAAGAAAAAAAGAATCTACCTCTATGTGGTGTGAAGAGTAGAAAAGGTGGTCATTAAGAACACAGATTCTTGAATCACGTGAAAGAGCATGGTGGACGCTGGATCCAAAATGTAAACCTTCTTTGGTTTCCCCCACCCTTCCTTCTCAACTTAACTTTGTCTCTCTTTCAGTGATGTTCAGATAACGTACAAATGTGCTACTGAAAAGACTGATTTCACAAATTCGAATTCTACTAACTAGCCCTGAAACCTGCAGCTTCTTCTATGCTTTAAATTCTCATTCCAAATCCTCCCTTTGATCAATATTGCCTTCTCAACTGATTCCTCAAAAAATGCATTTACAAAACTACCATTAACATTATGTCTTAATTACTTATATAGGACTAATATAAAAATGGGCATATAAAGAAGGTCTCTGTAGTTGTTACAGAATTGTATTGAAGATCCTGTTCATTACATTGTTCAAATTTCCCAACCCACTGTTCAGTTTCTCTCAGAGATCTGGGCTAGGAGATCGTCTCTCCTGATAATTTGTTGTGTCCCTTATGTTTCCCTTTTACTTTGGCTTCCAGGAAGCTTAGAGTTATTTGATTCATTATACCCCAGACTCTCTTAGCTCTGTTTTATGTTTTAATTATTCCACTCTTGTCTTTCCCGTCTCTATCCCAACCCTTGCTCCCATTACTTAGAACTTACACTTTAGTAATTATAGATTTGTTGACTTCATTGTATCTAAGTTTTTGTAAATTGCTCTAGGTTTAGAAGTGGGTAGAGAATACATGATAAATAATTTCTATAAAGCCTCCAATACCACTAATAAGTTATATTACTCTAGTTCAAATTTTAGCATAGTGACATCCAAGCATATTGCAATAAAAGATGAGTTTAGCTGATATTAAAAAAAGAAAATCATTTGTTATGTTAGGAAGCCATCAGGAAACACTAAGAGGAAGAAAATATGCAATCTTTAGAGTTATTTTATTTTTTAGAAAAATCATCAAGGCCAACCTCTAACGTGCCATATTGTCCATTCAGTCTCCCGAAGGTACGTGTGTTCTAAGTTTCTCATCACAATGGTCAGACTAATCGCTGATGTGGAAACAGATCTCACTCCTCTCAACTTTTGTAAGACAGAGAATGAATCTAGGTCATCCCTCTTGGAGATAGTGCTGTACCTCTGTGGATTAGAAAGAAGTTCAGCAGTATGACAGAAAAAATTCAACTGTCAAAGTTAAAATAAATATCTTTTAACTTAATCCCTAAGTGTGTGTTCCCTAAGAGAAAAGATTCTCCCACCACAGTTCATCTGGAGTAATTCATTCTTCCTAAACACATAAGCACTGGGAGTTATGATTGACCCTCTGATTAAATATTCAGAAGCATTAAAAAGTTAAAACATAAAAGCACAGAATAAAATGGCTGAATAGTTATTTGATCTAAGGATTAAGAAAAGTTTTCTAAACTGGAAAGTAATAAAAATAATCAAGTGGAATCTTCAATATAATACAATGCAATGTAAGACTTAGGTTTATCAAAAATAGAAATCAAACAAGTTGGGAGTATTATATTCAATAAATGTGAGACAAAGATTAAAATTCTTAATCTATAAAAAGCTCACAGGAATTTAAATCTTTTGATAAATGAAGGAAATGACATAATCAGAAAATTCTTTCAATATAAAAATGAAAATTGGTAAAATACCTGAAAAATTAGTCAACTTTACTGTCAGTAAAAAAGTAAAATAAAGCAGTAAGATTTATTTTATGTCTTTCAAAATAGCCCAGATTTTAAAATAAGCATATACTTAATCCATGCATAATTATATTTAAAACATGGAAAGAAATGTGCTAAAATGTTAACTACCTCTGGGAAACAGGATTATAAGTGACTGTTTTATTGTTCTCTATCGTGTTCTAGGCAATGCACCTAGTGAAGGCGCATTGAAAGACTCTCTCTCATTCACTTAAGTCAGAAATGGAAATTGAGGCCATCATTTTTAGGGACAATTTGACATATTTCAAGAGCCTTAAAAATATTAATGCCCATGGGCCGGGCACAGTGGCTCATGCCTGTAATCCCAGCACTTTGGGAGGCCGAGGCAGGTGGATCATGAGGTCAGGAGATCAAAACCATTCTGGCTAACACAGTGAAACCCCGTCTCTACTAAAAAAAATACAAAAAATTAGCAGGGCGTGGTGGCACATGCCTGTAGTCCAAGCTACTCGGGAGGCTGAGGCAGAAGAATTGCTGAGGTGGAGGTTGCAGTAAGCCGAGATCGCACCACTACAAATTAATGCCGTTTTACCTGATAATTCTACTCCTGGGCATATGTCCTAAGAAAATACCTAGAAACATAAGCATATACAGAGATTTATACACAGAAATGTTTGCCATATTATTTATATCAACTTCCTATGAAAGATAATTTAATTACACATTATTTTATTGGAATATAACCTAAAGTCAATAGTAATATATGCACAGAATAGAATATTGTATAGCAATAAAAATTATTTTACAGAAAAATTTTAATGGGAAACTATTAAACATGCATTTTAAAAGAAAAGAAAAACAGCATATAAAACATTATAAAAGATTAAAAACCATTCATAATTATATTTAAAACATGGAAAGAAATGTGCTAAAATGTTAACTACCTCTGGGAAACAGGATTATAAGTGACTGTTTTATTGTTCCTATCGTGTTCTAGGCATGTAGTAATTTTATTATCCAAAACGTACTACTAAAAGCCCCAGAAGAACCCTTCTGTTTTCTATTTTTAACTCTTCCTCATATCACAAGGGAGAGTCTTTTCTCTTTGAACTGGGACATGCTACTTTATGTAGCTACAGAAATAATCAAACATTTCTCAAATTTCTCAAAATTCTACTGCCCTCATAATACTGTGGTATACACTAGGGCAATCTTAATCTTATTTTTCTTAATCTTTATTTCTTGAATATAAATTTTCAAAATAGGAAGTCAAATAATATAAAATTTTTCTAGAAACTCTTAATAGAATGCTACCACAAATAAAGTATTAAAAGCAGAACATTCCAAGAGGAAAAGTGGGACTTATGCTTCATAAATTTGAATTCTCAAACTAAAATCTCTTTATTTTCACATAAATGCATGGCTTGTAATTGTAGTATGGTGGTATTTTGGCAAATTGGTTAGCTTTTGCTGTATAAAAAACCACCCTAAAACAAAATGACTTAGAGCAATAACCATTTATTCAGTTCACAATTGGCAGTTTGGGCTGGGCTCAGCTGAGCAATACTTCTGGACTTGGCTGGGCTTACTCAAGTGTCTGTGGTCAGCTGCCTAGGTAGTCAGAGGAAGTCTGGTCTAGGATGGCCTGAGCTGCCATGACTTGTCTCTGTTCTACATGGTGTCTCATCTTCCAGCAGGGTTTCCCAGGCTTCTTCTCATGACACAGGCTAAAGTCCAAGAGGGAGGGCAGAAGCATGAACATTTGTAGCCCTGGCTCAGAACTGACACAATGTCATTTTTACTTCATAATAGTCACCAAAGCAAGTCCCAAGGGCAGCTCAGATTCAGAAAGAGGGGAAACAGACTCCATCTATTAATAGAAAGAGCTGCAAAATCTCATTGTGAGGATAACAAGGGAGTGAAGAATTGCACCCCCTTGCAACCCAACACCTTAGGTTATAGCATCTAGGCACAAGCACCCAATTTTACTTATAAGTGTGACTAAATAAGTTTAAAAACATAAAAACGTGGAGCCGAGATAGCCAAATAGATGCAGCCAGGAGAAACGTCTCCCAAGAGACCAGGACATCAAGAAGACTGACACACTCTCAGCAAATCATCAGAGAGATGGCATTGAGAGTGGATGGAGGGAGAATCAGATGCTGCGCTGAAGGAGGAGGAAGCTGGGAACCTTGCATTGGATTACAAGGCACTGGGACTTGTTCTTGGCCCCCAGCAAATCCTGGAGAAGGGGTGAGTTGAACAATGAGGAGTGGCCCACTCTCGCCACAAATCTCCAGAATCTTGGCAGCAACAGACCCTGCATCCCCCCCACAGACACTTGAGCTGTCAGGGAGAGCTGTTTAGAGAGGTGGTAGTACCAGTACTACAGGCTGTGCTTAACCCAGAAGATTTGATGTGTGAATATCTACAGTGGAGCACAGCCAGGGATGCCCATCCCTCAAGGCTCACCATGCTCCTCTAGGAGACTTCAGCCTTACAACAACTGTCAGGCCTGGACACAGCAGTATGATCTTGCCTGTGAAATACAGCCAATCAGATCTGAGCACCTCCCTGTCTTCTGGCATCTCCCAGGGCCGTAGCCTGGCCACATCTGCTTGCAACGCAGCCTTGGATGCCCAAACAGATTGCTTCCCAGGGGCCTTCATCATAGCTCCTTTGCCAGCAGGCCACAGCTGGCCATTGGAGAGCTTCAGCAGACTAGACCCTGCCAATGCACACCAACCCACCCCCCAACCCCTGCAGGCTCCCCATCCTGTTTTGCCAGCACATACTTGCCTGTGACCACCCCACCACCACTTTACTGATGCACATGCATGGGTAGACTTCACCTCCCTTCCCCCACCAGCTTGCGTGTACATGTGTACCCCACCATGCCACTGCTGCTGGCACAACAGCACCCCACTGCATTTCCCCACTAATATGCAGTCACCTGGCCAAGTTGCCATTGCTGGCACAAACACATGCAGGGATGCCAGCAACCTTACTATTCCCTCCTACTACCGCTAGTGTCAGTGTGTGCACAGATGCCAGCAGACCCTCCCCGACCACTGCAGGCACAAGCAAGAATACTGTAGCCCTGCTCCCACTGGTACTCTGCCCCAGCTGAGACATATGCACCTTGTCACATTGCCACAGTGGCTGGCATGAGCAAGCAAGCACAGATACCACTGCCACTGCCCCAGTGAAGCAGTTTGGCCAGCACTGCCCACTGGAATATTGTGGCCAGTGGACCAGAAACACCTCGGCCCCTAAAGTAAAGCAGGTTCCTAACCTTAAGAGACCCGATACCAGCCCCTGAGAGTTAGCAGATGCAGCCTAGGAGTTCTAAGCTGAGCTGTCGCCCCCTAAAATCTCCTAGAAATGAAGCCAGTTGACTGAACTCACCTCATACCAAAATCAAACCCCCAACGACATCAAAGAAGATAAAAGCAAAAGACAGCAACATCAAAGACTGAGGGAACATCAACCCACACAAATGAGAACGAACTAGCACAAGATCTCTGGCAACTCAAAAACCAGTATCTTCCTTCCTCCAAACAACCACACCAGTTCCCCAGCAATGGTTTTTAACCAGGCTGAAATGGTTGAAATGACAGAAATAGAATTCAGCATATGGATAGGAATAAAGATCATTGAGACTCAGGAGAAAGTTGAAACCCAATCCAAGGAATCTAAGGAATACAACAAAAATGATACAGGAGTTGAAAGACAAAATGGCCATTTTAAGAACCAAACTGATGTACTAGAGCTGAAAAACTCACTTCAAGAATTTGATAATACAATCACAAGTATTAACAGCAGAATTGACCAAGAGGAGGAAAGAATCTCAGAGCACAAAGACTAGTTCTCCAAAATAACTAACTCGACAAAAATAAAGAAAAAAAAATAAAGAATGAACAAAACCTCTGAGAAATATGGGATAATATAAAGAGACTAAATCTATGACTCGCTGGCATCACTGAAAGAGAGGGAGAGAAAGCAAGCAACTTGGAAAATATATTTGAGTATACAGTCCATGAAAATTCCCCCAAACTTAGTAGATAAGCCAACATTCAAATTCAGGAAATGCAGAGAACCCCTGTAAGATACTACACAAGACAACTATCCCCAAGACACATAATCATCAGATTCTTCAAGGTTGAAATGAAAAAATATATATTAAGGATAGCTGGAAAGAAAGTGCGGTCACCTACAAGGGGAACCCCACCAGGCTAACAGCAAACCTTTCAGCAGAAACTCTACAAGCCTTAAGAGATTGATGGCCTATACTCAGCATTATCAAAGAAAAGAAATTTCAACCAATAATTTCATATCCAGCCAAACTAAGCTTTATAAGCAAAGGAGAAATAAGATCCTTTTCAGACAAGTAAACACTAAGGGAATTCATTACCACCAGATCTGCCTTACAAGAGATCCTTAAGGGATTACTAAGTATAGAAAGAAAAGACCACTACTGGCCACCACAAAAACAAACTCAAATACATAGACACTTGACACTATAAAGCAACAACATAATCAGGTCTGCATAATAACTAGCTAACAACATGATGAAAGGATCAAATATGCACATATCAATATTAACCTTGAATGTAAATAGAGTAAATGCACCAATTAAAAGGCATAGAGTGGCAAGTTGAATAAAGAAGCAAGACCCAAATACATGCTGTCTTCAAGAGACCCATCTCACATGCAATGACACACATAGCCACAAAGTAAAAGGACAGAGAAAAATCTACCAAGCAAACACACAAACAACAACAACAACAAAAAAAAAAAAAACAGAAGAAAGCAGAGGGTGCTATTCTAACTTCAGACAAAACAGACTTTAAACCAAAACCAAAATGATTTTGTGAACACAAAGAAAGTCATTACATAATGGTAAAGAATTTAATTCGATGTGAGGACTTAAATCTCCTAAGTATATATGCACCCAACACAGGAGCACTCATATTCATAAAGCAAGTTATTAGAGACCTATGAAGAGACTTATAACCACACAATAATGGTGGGAAACTTCAACACAGTGTAAGACACATCATCAAGGCAGAAAACTGACAATGATATTCAGGACCTGAACTTGATTCTTGACCAAATGGACCTAACAGACATCTACCGACCCCCTCACCCCAAAAACAACAGAGTATACATTCTTCTCATCTGCACACATCACATAATCTAAAATCAACTGCACAATCGGCCACAAATCAACTCTCAGCATATTCAAAAAAACCAAAATCATACCAACCACACTCTCAGATCACAGTGCAATAAAAATAGAAATCAATACTAAGAAAATCACCCCAAAACCATGTAAATACATGGAAATTAAACAACCTGCTCTTAAATAACTTTTAAGTAAACAATGAAATTAAGGCAGAAATCAATAAATTATTTGAAACTAACGAGAACAAAAACAAAATATATCAGAATCTCTGGGATACAGCTAAAGCAATGTACAGAGGGAAGTTTATAGTGCTAAATGCCCACATTAAAAAGTTAGAAAGAACCCAAATTAAGAAACTGACGTTACACCTAGAAGAAGTAGAAAAACAAGAACACACCAACCCCAAAGCTAGAAGAAGACAAGAGATAACCAAAATCAGAGCTGAACTGAAGGAAATTGAGATGTGAAAAACCATACAAAAGATCAATGACTATAGGAGTTGGTTTTGTGAAAGAATAAATAAGACTTATAGACTGCTATCTAGACTAATAAAGAAAAAAGAGGGATTATTGGAACAATCACAGTCAGAAATGACAAAGGGGACATTCCCACTGACTCTGCAGAAATAGATAAAGCCCTGGAGACTACTATGAACACCTCTATGCACACAAGCTAGAAAACTGAGAAGAAAGGCATAAATTCCTGGAAACACACAACTTCCTAAGATTGAACCAGGAAGAAATTGAAGCCTTGAACAGACCAATAACAAATTCTGAAATTTCATCAGTAATAGAAAGCCTACCAACCAGAAAAATCCCAGGATTACATGGATTCATAGCTGAATTCTACCAGGTGCATAAAGAAGAGCTGGAACCATTTCTCCTGAAGCTGTTCCAAAAAATTGAGCAGGAGAAACTCCTCACTAACTCATTCTATGATTCCAGCATCATCCTGATACCAAAACATGGCAGAGACACATAAAGAAAAGAAAACTTCAGGCCAATATCCTTGACGAACATTGATGCAAAAATCCTCAACAAAATACCAGCAACCAGAATCCAGCAACACATCAAAAAGCGAATCCACCACAATCAAGTAGGCTTCATCCCTGGGATGCAAGGTTGGTTCAACATACACAAATCAGTAAATGTCATTCACCACATAAACAGAACTAAAAACAAAACCACATGATTATCTCAATAGATACAGAAAAGGCTTTTAATAAAATTCAACATCACTTCATATTAAAAACCCTCAACAAACTAACCATTGAAGGAACATACCTCAAAATAATAAGAGCCACTTATGACAAACCCACAACCAACATCATAATGAATGGGCAAAAGCTGGAAGCATTCCCCTTGAGAACAGGAACAAGATAAGGATGCCCACTCACAGGACTCCTATTCAACATAGTACTGGAAGTCCTAACCAGAGCAATCAGGCAAGAGAAAACAAAAAGATATCCCTATATGAAGAAAGGAAGTTATACTGTCTCTGTTTGCAGTTGATATGATTCTATATCTAGAAAACACCATAGTCTTTGCCAAAACCTCCTAAATCTGATAACTTCAGCACAGTTTCAGAATAAAAAAATCAATGTACAAAAATCAGTAGGATTTTTATACACCAACATTATCCAAGCTTAGGGCCAAGTCAAGAAAACAATTCCATTTACAGTAGCCAGAAAAAGAATAAAAGACCTAGCAATATGGCTAACCAGGGAGGGGAAATATCTCTACAAAATGAATTATGAAATACTGCTGAAAGAAATCAGAGATGTCACAAATGAATGGAAAAGCATTCCATGCTCATGGATAGGAAAAAGTCAATATTGTTTAAAATAGCCATACTTCCCAAAGCAATTTATAGATTCAATGCTATTTCTATCAAACCACCAATGACATTTTTCACATAATTAAAGCATTCTAAAGTTAATTTGGAACCTAAAAAGAGCCTTAGTAGTCAATGCAATTCTATGCAAAAAGAGCAAAGCTGGAGGCATCACATTACCTGACTTCAAATTATACTACAAGGCTACAGTAACTAAAACAACATAGTACTGGTACAAAAGCAGATACATAAACTAATGGAACTGATGAGAGAACTCAGAAATAAAGCCTCACACCTACAACTATGTGATCTTTAACAAAGCTGACAATAATAAGCAATGGGGAAAGGACCCCCTATTCAATAATTGGTGATGGGAAAACTGGCTAGCTGTATGCAGAAGATTGAAACTGGACCGCTTCGTTACACCACATACAAAAATTAACTCATGATGGATTAAATACTAAATGGATTAAATGTAAAACCCAGAACTATAAAAACCCTGGAAAACAACCTAGGCAATACAATTCTGGACATAGGAACAGGCAAAGATTTCATTACAAAGATGCCAAAAGCAATTGCAACAAAAGCAAAGATTGACAAATGAGATCTAATTACATTAAAGAGTTTCTGCACAGCCGAAGAAACTACCAACAGAGTAAACAGACAACCTGTAGAATGGGAGAAAAGTTTTGCAAACTATGCATCTGACAAAAGTCTAATGTCCAGAGTCTATAAAGTTCTTAAACAAATTTACAAGAAAAAAAACCCAACAACCCCATTAAAAAGTGGGCAAAGAATATGAACAGACACTTTTCAAAAGAAGACATGCATGCAGTCTACAAGCATATGAAGAAAAGCTCAACATCACTGATCATTAGAGAAGTGCAAATCAAAACCACAATGAGATACCATCTCACATAAGTCAGAATGGCTATTATGAAAAAGTCAAAAAATAACAGATGCTGATGAGGTTGCAGAGAAAAAGGAATGCTTATACATTGTTGTTGGGAGTCGAAATTAGTTGAACCATTGTGGAAAACAGTGTGGCTATTGCTCAAACAGCTAAAAGCAGAACTATCATTTGTACATCCCATGACTGGACATATACCCAAAGGAATATAAATGGTTCTATCATAAAGACACATGCATGTGTATGTTCATTGCAGCACAATTCACAATAGCAAAGACATGGAATCAATGTAGATGCCCATCAATGGTAGAATGAATAAAGAAAATGTGGTATATATGCACCACGGAATGCTATGGAGCCATAAAAAATAATGAGATTATGTCCTTTGCAGCAACATGAATGGAGGCCATTATCCTAAGCAAATTAACACAAGAACAGAAAAGCAAATACCACATGTTCTCACTTGTAAGTGGGATCTAAACATTGAGTATACATGAACACAAGGAAGGAAACAACAGACACCGGGGCCTAGTTGAGGGTGGAGAGTAGGAGGAGGGTGAGGGTCAAAAAACCACCTATCAGGTACTATGCTTATTTCCTGGGTAATGAAATAATCTGTACACCAAACTCCCATGGCATGTAATTTACCTATATAACAATCGTGCACAAGTACCCCTGAATGTAAATAAAAGTTTAAAAAATGCTAACAATAAAAAAATCTGACAACTAGGAAACAGATTTTTTCCTATAATCTGTAGCAAAAAACAAAAAAAAAAATAGAATCGTACTTTTCTGAATTTCAACTAGGCCATTATATACAATTGAGTCATTATTTCCTCCCAAACACTATCCTTCTTTGCAAACCCAATTTGCTTTTTTTTCAAAAACAATACTTGAAAAGCTTTCCCTTTCTTTTATAATTACATTTCATTTTTATTGAAGAAGTATTTGCACATAGTTTTAAATGTCAAGTAGTATTTAGAGGCTTCTAACAAAAAAATAATACCACCTTATTTGAACTTTTCTCCCCCAACCCATGAACACACACAGGCACTGACATTTTCTAGAAGCACCCTCTTTTTTGGCTGTTTCTTTTTTAGAAATAATATGGATATAATTTTTAAAATGCGTCTTTGTTAGTCATTAGATATTGTGGTAGGCAAATAATGGACTTAGAAATATGTTCATGTCCTATTCCCTGGCACCTGTGATTGTTACCTTCAATGGCAAAAAGGACTTTGCAGATTAAGGTTAAAGATCTTGAAATGGGAAGATTATTCTGAATTATCTGGGTGGGCTTAATCTAATTATGTGAGTCCTTAAAAGCGTAAAAGACAGAGAGAATATGAGAAAGATAGGACATAAGAAGGACTCCCTCCCCCCACACAACCCTCACAATTGCTGTCTTTGAATATAGAAAAAGAGAGCCATGAGCCAAGGAATATGATGACCTCTAGAAGCTTGCAGCAGGCCTCAGCCTACAGCCAGCAAGAAAACCAGGAACCAGCCAGACATGGTGGTTCATACCCTGTTATCTCAGTACTTTAAGAGGCAAAGGTGGGAAGATCACTTGAGTCCAGGATTTCAAGGCCAGCCTGGGCAACTAGTGAGACCCCCATCTCTACAAAAAATAAAAAATTGGCCAGGCATGGTGATGTGCACCTGTAGTCCTAGCTACTTGGAAGGCTGACGTGGGAGACTGCTTGAGCCCAGGAGTTCAAGGCTGCAGTGAGCTTTGATTGAGCCATTGTACTCCAGCCTGGGCAACAGAGAGAGATCCTATCTCAAAAAAAAAAAAAAAAAAAAAAAAAAAAAAAAAAAAAACCCAGAAAAAAGAAAACAGAGACTTTGGTTCTACAACCACAAGAAACTGAATTCTGCCAACAACCAGAATGAATAAAAAATGGATTCTTCCCTAGAGCTTCCAGAAAGAAATGCAGCCATCCAATACCTAAATTTTAGTTCATGAGACCCATACTGGACTTCTGACCTCAGAACTGAAAGATAGTAAATTTGTGTTGTTTTAAGCTACTATGTTTGTGGTAAATTTGTTATGGCAGCAACAGAGATCTCATACGGGTATTGACTTCCTTGTAAAATTCATGAGGGTTTTAGTTCTTCCACATTACGCATTGTGTCCTCTCCTGCTTACATGATAGTTACATCACAATTTTCAGTTAAATTTATATTCTGTATTTTTCACATTATTATAATATTGTAAAGAATATTCACACCTGAACCAAGAAATATGTGATGACTACATTTCCTTTCACATACAACTAATTCCTTGTCAAACTCCACCCTCCCAATCTTATCTGGCATTAGTAATTGCTTAATTTGCTGAGTTTTAACTGAACCTATGGCTTGGTCTTCTAACACCTGACAATAGCACTATAAAATGAGAAGCCTTTTCTTCAAAACAAAAATGTCTGAGGTCGGAATTACAGTAATACCCCAAGGGTAGAGACAGTACAGTTGGCAAACCAGAGACAGTTGAGGTACTGCATCTTCTTGTCAGCGTTTGTCATTCTAACCTACATGGTAATCACAGCAATGGACTTAAAGTTCTAGGCAAGTAAATTTCTACAAAGATGGCATTCAAATATTTAAAAGTTAGACACTTTTAATAATGCAGAATGATAATTTTCTATTCCATACATGCATAAGCTCTTTTAATTATTCTAATACATAATTTTATATTACTATATATAACCATTCAAAATTTCCTTTGAAGGCAAATTGAAGTGACAATGAAGATTGCATAGGTAAAGACAAACATCTGAAATGAAGAAAAATTGCCACATCTGTGGATCTTTTAAGCTGGAAAATACCGCTCCAAATTAGATAATTATTATGGTCTCCTCATATGAATCTCTTACTCACTGGATGAAGTATTTAAACTTGGTCTTTTAAGATTTAACATAATGAAACACTTGAGCTACAGCATTATTTTAGTGTTTAAAAATTTAAAAAGAGGGGGATAACCACAATGGTGAAATAACCTATCTCAGGAGACATAAAAGATCATCCATTCTGTATTTTGTGGCAATAACTGAATAGTATAATAATTACGACTTCAAAAGTTAACTCATTTTCCCTATTGCTGAAAGGCTCATTTATGCTTTTTCTGATATGCAAAAAAATAGGCAATTTTTCCTCATCCTTACCCCTTTTTTTAAACATGCAACATCTATGGTACCATTTTCATTCACCATGAGATTCATATTATTGACTATATCAGAATCATCAGAAAATATTTTATAGATTAGAAAGTGGGGTCTCTGCATACTAGAATCTTCCAATCTTTTTAGTGAATACTATTACATGAATCAAAATATCAAAGTAGTAAACTATTAACATACAAATCATAGTCTTACAAACATTTACACCTGATTCAAAGAAAGAATAATTGCATCAGCAAAGAGGCATGAAGATGTAGAAGGTGATGATGCCTTTCGGAACAGATGAGTGTTCAGAAAATGGCTGGAGACTCAAAATGAGGCAAGGATGAGGCTGGTAAATTAAGCAGGGACAGAAGATGAAGGCTTTTAGACCATGCCAAAAAGTTGGGATTTTATATGATAGTATGTGGGGATCCATTGAATTATGTTAGTAATACAACCAGATTTGCCTTTCAGAAAGATTGTTCTATTCTGGTAGCTTTGTGTTAAATGAGTTGGAGGTCAGAATGAATTGAGGCAGGAAAGCCAACAGGAAGGTGGTAGCAATAGGCCATGAAACATTTGATGAGGGTCTGAGCTAAGGTAGGAGATGGATTTAGAGAGAAAAGTGGTTTGGACAAACGTTGTAGAATTAAAAGTGGTGAGATGTGGTAAGGTCAGTAATTTGTATTAAATTCAATATACATATATGTAATCCAGTGCATACAAGTCAGTGTTTTTATTCTGTATCATTTTCACTTCTGATTTCTTTTTTTAATTCCTTATTCCAGTCAGGCGTACCTGTTTCATTTTCTATCTAAGGTTCTAGCTTCCTCAAATCCTATCTCAGCCTTGGTTACATTTTGGCTGAATATTTACCCACCTGGAGAACTTTTAAAAATACTTTTATCTAAGATTCTAATATAAGTGATATGGGGTGTGACCTGGGCTTTGGGATTTTAAAAAAGTCCTCAGGTAATTCAAAGTGCAGGCAAGGCTGCCAAACACTGATACAAGTTATTGGTTGTGATAGAAGCTGAGGACTGACAAGAACTTCTGCCATTGGTTGTTAGGATTCTTCCAGCTCACTCATCACTTGCCAGAGATTTTAATAGCTCAGCTTAATTTCATTTATTATCTTACTTTGCCTGATTACTGGCTTTGACTTTTCCCTCAATTTGTGGTCAAGCCCTCTGATAGGTCCGTTTTGGCTGCAAGAATAAAAACAAATTCTGACTAATTGAGGCAGAAAAGGAACTTATTTAAACAATACTAGAATTTTCCAGGAGAGCCAGAGAACCAAGTTTGAAGTAATGATTAATGACCAAAATAACATTTCATAACTACCCTCCTGAAGATATAGTTATTGCTGTCACTATACACAGACACAATGGATTGCATAGCCAACACCACCAATGCTGGCCACTATATTATAGCTTGAAGTTATGGCCATTGCTACTCCTGGAAAATAGAGTAGTATTGTCTGCACATGGATAAATTTCCAATAGGTCTTGCTTCTTTGTTTATTAATTGCAGAGTCCAGAGAGGGTGCAACTGATTGGAAAGGATGTGACCACACTCCAGCAGCAAAGGAGGCTGGGAAAGCGAATACCTGGTATTTGCTTCTATAGTGTTAGGAAAACTCAGTGGCAAGCTTCATGTGTAAGGATTTTCCATATACGGAAAGGAATTTCAGGTCCCTTATGAAATGGTAAAAAGATGATGAATAGTTATTACTACCCTTTCCTGCATTGCCTGGGTATTCCTGCTTGCCTAATATCTCCACAACTATTTTCTTAAAACTTAGCAGCATGAATAGGCATTTCTTCCTTCATTCATTCATTCACTACCTATTTGGTATCTATTACATGTGCCTACCACTTCCTCTTTTTTAGCCCTACTATAACCTATATAGGCTGTGATTATAATCCCTATAACTCTTCACTGATTTTGTTTATATGGAGGGAGGTGTCTTTCATCAAGGCTTCATATTCTTAGCTCTATTGCAATGTTTTTGAATGAACCAATGAATCATTGCACGAGGCAATGAAACATTGCATTGGTTTAGGAACACTGATTCCTTGGTGTGTAAGGCTCGAACTCTTTTCTCAAGGATTTTAGTTTAGTCTTTTATTACTATGGTTGATTTCCATTACTGGCCCTGATTCTTCACCCTTCACTGTATCCAATTTCTTTGCCACGTGATTTTAATATAGCTCCTACTAAAGAAATAGACTATGTTTCCTTTTCCCACTTAACTTTGGACTTAACTATGTGACTTGCTTTGGCCAGTGTAATGGGGGGCAATCATGATGGATCTGAGCTTAGACCTTAAGATACCATACATATTTCCACTTGATTTCCTGCACATTATCATTGCTATAAGAATTATCTGCCCCCAATTAACCCACTGGTACAGAGAGGATAAAAGACAATTGGAGCAGAGCCATGTCAGTGGAATGTAGATTTCTAAGTTTTAGGGTAGTTTTTTATAATAAGCCACCCGCAAACTCAAAAGTGTTGTAGCCAGTCTGACCGATGCATCTGATAATAATGAACTAACAGAGAACTTTGAGAATAGGGGGCATCACTATTTTATATACCCTTGTAGAAGTACAAAGTGATGGCCAATGCTAATATATTAAGCTAATGGTCTATAGAAGGTCTTTAGGTGGATACTTTGGTCCCTGAATGTTGTTATAGGATTTTGAATATAATTACCTAAGAAAAATGATCTGAGAAATAGTAAAGAGTGAAGGTAGACAAAGGCAGAAAAAATCCCTTATGGAGAAAAAAGTCCCAAATTAAAGGCAGAATATGTCCCAAATTATGGCAGATCATCGTCATCATAATCATCACTAATATCCTCTGCTATTTGAACACTTACTATGTTCCCAGAATAGCATTATCACCTCCACTTTCCAGATGAGGACACTGAGGCTAAGGGATGTTAAAGAATTTTCCTAAGATCACATAACTATTAGAAGAATCAAGATTTTCCCCAGGACTATCAAACCCCATAGTCTAAAATCTAACTATGCATTTGATACTTCAGCCAGGGAAAAATGCTAATCCATAATCAAACAATAATGCTTATATGTATATGGTACATTATGAAGGGTTTGCACAGATATTATTTCATTGGTTTGCACATTTTCTTTGTGAAATGAAAACTATCACATACGTGATCATTTTAAAGACAAAACCCAAAGTTCTGAGAAATTATATGATTATGGCCAAAGATCAAATTATTGGTAAGTCCTGGCACTGGTTACAAACCCACAAAAGATGGGAAATGTATATCCTAGTGCTGTAAAACATTTGCAAAAAAAAAAAGAAAACCCTTAGACAGACAATTGAGGACATGGTTCAAATGAGTGAAAATCCCTGGGCAGTTGGTTAAAATATCTGAAGAAAAAAATAGTCTAATAGAAATAACTAAGCCAAACGATTGAGTCATTCATTCCTGTTGAAGATTTTAGTTCACTTTCCCTATTCAGCTGATGTGCAAAAAGAACAACCCTAAACATATTCTCTTGATACTTTCAGGATACATCCGAAGTTAGTTATTTTTTTCTCATATTTTTCATTTCAATTTTATTTATTAAAGGTTTATTATTATTTTAGTACTCTGTATATCATTGTAGGCCATCAGTATGTATTTCATTTTGGCTTTGTTTCCCCCTCAAAAATATTGTTGCATAATACCATTTACAAAGACAAGTTATTAGCAGTAGGTTACAACAATAACAAGTGCATTTCTCTTTTTGAACATTATCATGCAAATGTTCTGTTTTTTAAAATAAAGGCTCATTCTTTGATGGGTATTCCATTTTGCATTTGTCTCTTTTAACTTTTCAAAAATGGAAATAAAATTGTCAATCAAAACAACAATATTGGAAGTGAATTATAGGCAAAGAATTTGCAAAGGCAGAAACATTAACAGGAGACAAAGGAAAGACTATTGTTATATTTTTAAAAAGAATAAGTCACTAGTGACATTATCTATTCCTTGAAATCTGGGCGTGATTATATTGGCTGTTTCACAAAGCTCGCCTCACATAAAGTCATCTGGAAATAGAAGTCTTTCCTTTATTGCTATTAGTGCAATTTAATGGGGAGAGAACTGACCCAAGAACCAGAAGAAAAGACATGGATTTAAGGTTGTGTGTAGAACCCATACCATTAATGAGATCTTGGGCAATCTTTTCCATTTGTCACTGCAACTGATCCTCAAACTTTTGGTAGTAAACACATTTGGGATCACATAAATCATTTTTTAAATCATTTGAATACCTAAGTATCCACCATTTAAATTGGATTTCCCCAGAAACTGAACCTAAGACAAAATTTCAAGTTCCAGTGTTACATTTGGGATGTCATCTCAGGAAGCATTGGTAGAGGAGTGTGCAAGTAAGACAGAGAAAGGAAGAAAGCCATTATGGGGTTGAATCAGGGTAGTTACCACTGTGGGAAACTGGACCTCAATCTCCCTCAGGGACTCCAGTGGCTAGTATAAGAACATGCCTCAGAATTATCACAGCTGAGGTGTGAGGAAGTTGCAGTATTGAGCTACCAACTCATCCATTCTCGGGTGAAGGGCTGCTTGCAAGCCCATAAACTCTATGGCACTTCTGGCTTGCTGTTGGGCAGGCCAAGCACTTCCATGACCAAACAAACAGTTTTGTCAGAACAAACAGTTTTAGGTAGAACCATGGTTTTTGCAGTAAAATAGCCTTTGATGATGTGTGAAGGTGAGAGCTGAGGTAATAAGAGCAAGTACACATAAGGTGTGCTTCATTTTCCAACCAAGATTTTTACTAAGAGTAGAGTGGACATTAGTCACTGATGATTTTTTTACTGTCCAGGATCTGAACCATTCTTCTATGTTTGAGCAATTCCCTAGCACACAGTGTTAGAAAAGAGCAGAGCAGACCCTCTTAAATGCTGGAAGAGCTTACTTCTAGAACGTAAGCTGAAAAGGGAATATGCTCATTTTCCAAGTTTCCTTTGCAGTTAGGACTCTACCAATCAGATGCTCCTGCTTGAGATGTTGAATCTGGAGCAAGTGACACAAAGAAGCCAATGTAATGGAAAACTAAATTTTTTGGCATTGTCTGGCAATGGCAACAGCAGTCAGTCTCCAGAACAGCTGTGGCAATAGGGAGGGGTCAGTGGTACTGCCCAGTGTTTGAAATTTCTAGTAGCGGTGGTGCTGGCTACTGAGTACAGCGTTTGGCGGTGGCTATAGTAGTGTCCTCACCAGACACTTCCTTAGCCTCCCTCACCAGTGCTCATTTTCTGTGTCCCATTCTTGTCTTCCTGGTGATTCTGTGAATGACTGTTGACTTGCCAATACTCTTGCTATTTGCTTAAATTATCAAAGGTCAATTTCTATTGCTTGCAATTCAAAATCTTAGTACAACCGGTCTGGGGTATAACCCAGTTAACAGCCTCTCAAAGTGATTTTTTTTTTTTTTTTTATGAGACGGAGTCTAGCTCTGTCACCCAGGCTGAAGTGCAGTGGCACGATCTCTGCTCACTTCAACCTCCACCTCCTGGGTTCAAGCAATTCTGTCTCAGCCTCTCGAGTAGCTGGGATTACAGGCGCCCACCACCACGCCCGGCTAATTTTTGTATTTTTAGTAGAGACGAGGTTTCCATGTTGGCCAGGTTGGTCTCAAACTCCTGACCTCAGGTGATCCTCCTGCCTCGGCCTCCCAAACTGCTAGGATTACAGGCGCGAGCCGCCTGTAATATCGGACCTCAAAGTGATTCTAATGCAAACTTTGAGGGCCACTGCTCTGTTTCTGTTCCTAAAAAGGGAAAATAAGTATAACAACATATGCTCAGTGTAGCACTTGTGATGTTGAAATAAACTAATTACCAGAGAGGAGTTTCAAAAGCATGAGTAAGACGATTTCATAATTAAAGGCATCAACTAAATAATGATTTGAAAGTATTTTTTGGCCCAAAATGAATTCCAGCTACCATGTGAAGAAATCTATTTAAATATTGCTATCTTACACAGAGCTACCTGGCCATCTCTGATCCCAAATCCCTCTAGTCCCCACATTTGGAGCCAATGAACTTGTGGTAGATTAAATACAAAAATGACTACAATGCTTTACCCCTCCCTGTGTCCAGGTCCTTTTTAATGTGACTTTGTAGCTCCTATCACTGAGTGGAGAAATCTAATTCTCCACCCTTTGCTCTGGACTGGCTTTGGAACTTTCCTGGGCTGGTAGAACTTGGTGAAAATGAGAGTGAGACAGTTTCGAGATTTTGTATATTTCCACTCTTTCTTGGACTCCTATTAGCTAATACGTGAACAAGCACAAGCTCGACTACTGGAGGATGAGAGACCACACAGAGGGGAGAGCTGACATGCCTGAACCAATAGCCAGCCAACTGACCTTCAAAAGCAGAGATGCCCAGCTGACCTAGGCTAAATTGTTGACCCACAGAATCTTGAGTTTTACCTATTAAGTAATTTTTGCTTTAAGTCACTACGTTTTGGGATGGTTTATTGTGCAAAAATAGATAACTGATACTGTCTCTGAAATACTTGTTGGATTCTATTCAGGCTCTGAAACCACTCAGGCCCACAGGACTGTTGATTAGGAAAATTAGTGGCATGGTTCAGGTACTCAACATCATGTAGTACATATATATATATATATATAGTGACCTTGCTGCTATCTTACTCTGGTTTACCCCCTTATTTTCAATGATTTTTGGGTTCCTGACTTATCATTCTCTGCCTAAGTAACTTAAGTTCTCTGCTCCATGCCCCATCATATCTTCATGATTAGCTTTTTGCTAGAGATGTCCCAAATACACATCTTGCAAAATATCAAATGGTCAACTTTTAAAATCAACATTTATATAAAGCTGAATATCTCACTATCATCATATTACCTTTTGGGGAAATTTATAATTTTATCATTAAAAATTGAGTGGTTAGATTTTAAATGTTCAATATAGTGCAATGACAATGATAGTATACTCATTAACAATATAATTATTAATAATGATAATATCAATATTTATATGCTAATATAGTGCAAGAACAATAATTTGCTTAGCACTGGTTTGTTCCCATTATATTAAATAGTCTCCTGCTTTTTACTGAAGTTGGTAGAGAAACAGAAAAATTTTTAGATAGCTTTGTCAGTGTAAGATACTGATGGTGATGTTGCCACCAAATTATTATGTTTTCCTTCCTCTTTAATAGTGAATTGCTAAGGTAAAGACTTATCTCCTTTTTAACTCCTAGTCTTGATGGTTGGCTGATGGTGATAATGCAAATGCATTATAGCAATTCCACAAATGGAAATGTTTATACACTGCTCAAAGAAGAAGCTTTCTGAACATTTTCAGAAGCAAAAATACAATTGATTTCCCATTATATTGTTTATTTCTAATACTTTTCATGCATTTGCTACTTAAAACAAGAACTTGAGAAAATGATATTTCTAAATCTTCAGTCTGGAATAGGGAAAAATAATTAGCTTTGAAACTAAGTTATTGGCCTTCAAGACAAAATCTTCCCTGAATTTCCATCTGCATTTCAGCTTTCATCGCCTGGATAACACTCTTAGCATTTTGACTGGAAAGGAATGATAGAAGTGTATTTCCATCAGCTATCATATAAGAAACACTTTCGTTCTCCAGGCACAATGTTATTTTTTCAACACGTTCAAGCAACTTTACGACTTTCTCTACATGCAATCATCAGTTGTTATTAAGTTCTACAATGCTATTATTATCTACAAAATATGGTATAAAAGCTTTCTTGTATTTAAGCTGCCTTTTTAAGTGTGTAGCAGTGCTTCTTCCATCATGCTTGGACATCTTGTAAAACACATGGTAAGGCAGTTCTAAAATAGCTTGCATCTCTATATAAAATAACATTCCAAAATCTCTTGTATGACATGAAGTCTGTTTCTTGCTGAAGAATGATGAAAGTGTCTCACTACCTTTCCGCTGTACTATAATTTTTTTTCTGAATGCACAACCAAAAAGAGTGGACGAGACATTATATGATTGTGGATCCCAGTATAACTTTCAATATAAACAATTATAATTTTATTCAATAATTTTCCATTTTATAGTTTATCAACGAGCTGTGGTATGTTAATGGTTATGTAAAACCTAGAAATCCCTTGGTAAGCAAGTAAAGCAGAAAAACAATTAAATTCATATTGATCCACCAAGTAGTTAAACTTTAAAGAAACTTCTGCTCATTTCTAAATTATCAATTGTCGAATTTACAAGATACAGAGGTCACATATTCAGTAATATCTCTAGACTTTTTGTGGATAGCAGAATATAATTCAGGATTTTTTTTCAGTAATATATTCTAGATGAAACTTTGTACCTAGGATTTTAGAAATGTTAAAATTGAGGGAACTCAAGAATCCTTTCTCTTAAATCCTTAAAAAGATTGGCTCTCTATAGAGATAATTTAAATAGGATTTTTGTTTTAAAGTTTTAGGCTCTGAAAACTTAAATCTATAAGGAATTGTCTTCCCAAATGTATGATTTTAAAGTCTCTTATTTTGAAGTTTGATGGTAGGAACAAAATGAGATAAAGATATCTCATTTTTCTCTAACATTTATTCTTTGTATTCTTTACATCCTTTATTATATCAGGATCAAAAGTTATTTGTTAAGTTAATTTATAGTTTATCATTTAGTTTTTTTTCTGCTTATGATAGTTTGAGGTGGCAAAATTGACATTTACCTTTTAAATCATACTCCCAAGATGTGACGAATTATCAATAAGGCTTTTTAAAAATGTTTTGCCTAAATGGAAGTAAATAGCAATATTTTAAATTCTTAAACTTTAAGTTCTTAAAAGTTTATTTTATTTGGTGTTATAATTGTTCATACACCAAACAATTCTGCTAAATTTGAATTAATATGTAATCTAATCTCTTTTTTCAGTCTTATTATTATTCAAATTGTATAAATAATTATTAGACAAAAAAGAAAATGTGTTCTTTCTAATGTTATTTTCCTCATGCATTTTCATAATATTTATAATAACTGTCAACCTTTTTCCTTATTCATTTAACTCTGAAAATTCTTAATAATGGTTCTATACATAAAAATTAATGGCTTTCACAGCCATCATTAATTATTATAGGATTTTACTTCTGCAATAAAAATACACATTTATATTACAATTGACTGTTAGAATTTCAACAAATAAAGCACACAACAAGATTTTAACTTCATGTTACACTCAAAATGCTTATCTATATTTGAAAGTGAATATCAAGAAATTAACTATAAATCCCAATAACCTTACTGTTATTGTACTATTATTTGTATTACCATTGTTATTACACTAAGTATATATAATGGCAACCTAGGTAATTGCACAATCTTTCATGTGATGTTAAAGTAGGAAAGAGGCTATTTAGCCTTCCAAAGGCTGCAGCCAAAGCACAAGTTGAAAACCAGACTTTGACTGCATTCCCAGGTCAAATGCAAACCTTCATACCTCCTTGCTTTGTGTATTTAAAACTTCAATCTCAAGGAATAATTTTAGGCACATTGTAAGATTTACCTAAAGGCATTTATATGCATGTAACAGATCCCTTTCTACCTGGAAGCAAAACATTAGGTTATACGTTCAGACGTTTTGAAAGGTTGAACTTGAAATTTGAAAATTTGAAATCCTTCTTTGTTGGCTACATGCTAAAGAATGTGTACTAGACAGTCCCCAAATATGGTTACCAGCAATTGCCAATTATTCCTCGATATTCATATGCATATGCATGCTGCTCCCACTTCTCCCATTAAAAACTAGTCTATTTCCCTCTCCCTTGAATGTAGGCTAGCCAGTGACTTTCCGAGTTCCAGGCCTACACCTTCAGGGACAGATTTCACCTTTGCTTTCTTGAGACCCGGATGTCATGCTATAAGAAAGTCTAGGCTAGCCTGCTGGAGAAAGAGGATATGTAGAAAGGCCCTAGAGAATGAGGAGGATAAGCTGCCACATAGAGAGAAGACATATTGGGTAGAATTGAATCCTCAATGACAGTCAATACTGAGACCTCAGAAATGCAAGAGCAGCCATCTTGTGCCTTCCAGCCCAGCCCATGCAATAACATGAGTGATTCCAGCTGACATTAATGGAACGTAAGTATCACCAATCAACCTGCAGAATCATAAGAAACAGTAAATAGCAGTTGTTTCATACACTAAGTTTAAGGGTGGTTTGTTACCTATCAATAAGTAACAGGATAGACCTTTGTATCTGGTCTGGGGTCTTGCCAAAAAAAAAAAAAAAAAAAAAAAAACTTAGACATGTGACATTAGCTTTGAGACTGGGCAGAGGTTAGAGAGTAGAAGAGCAGTAAGGAAAATGCTGTTGGAGACTGGCAAAGGGAGAATCAGTTATGCACTGTTAGAATATTTGGCAATACTCTTGCCTGTAGCAAGGAATCCAATGAACTTATGTATTTGGCTAAATTTTCAGAAAGAATGTTGAAGATGCCAATTGACTTCTCTTAGCCCTGTATGATGTATTGCAAAAGAAAGATAGGCTAATGAAAAAACTGTTAAAGTTTTTGATAAGGATTTGGAGAAAATGTAGAGAGTTTAAGACAGTCTCTTCAATTGCTAAGAGACTTTAGTTTGAAGGAAACTTGGGGAATACATTAAATTCAGGATACTACCAGTAAACTGTGGCCTCAGGATCAAGATCAAATCAAAAGTGAGGCTGAATGATTTAGTGCAGTGCCTCAAAAATCCTCTTTCAGCTGGACAAAGGGGCTTTAAAAATTCATAAAGCCATTGTTCCACAGCACTTCGACTCATGGCCCAGTTTAGAGAAAGCCTGTTAAGAAAATAATTATAGGTGAAGCTTTCATTTAATGGAGTAGATTATAATTTGATTAGTAGAAAATCTGTAAGGTTTACTAGAGTATGGGGTCCTGACATAATGTAGCTGGGTGGATTTCAGAATTGCTATGGGCCAGTGACCACTGTGTGCCTTCCATCCCCTCCTTTGGATGGATGTGTCTGTTGTAATTTTCCTATTCTTATCTCACCTTTGCATGTTGGGGGACAGATAACGTGCATTTTTAATTTACAGTTTTCTTGTTTGAGAGAAACTATACCTAAGCAGCTGCAATCAACAAACTGCACCTAAGGATCTTCATCCTCATCTGAACTAATTTTAGATGATGAGACCCTCGACTTTGAGCTAATGCTACAGTGGTATGATATTGTTGAAAATGACATTGAATGCACTTTGCATATGGAAGGGATGTGAGTTGTTGTGGCTAGTGGGTGAATTGTGTTAGATAGTCTCCAACTATGTTCATGAAAATTATTCTTTTCTCTGTACTTGCATACTGTTACTCTCATAAAGTGTTAGAGTCTAGCTTCCCTTCTCTTGAAGCAAGGCTAGTTTGTGACTTTCTTTGACCAATATAATATAGCAGAAGTTCCACTGTACCAGTTCTGGGCCTGGGACTTCAGTGGTAGTTTGTTTTATTCCATTGGAACCCAGTTGCCATGCTGTAAGAAACTCTCAGCTGTCATGCTGGAGACAAAAGACATGTGGCAAGGCCCTAGAGAACGAGCTGCCATATGCAGCAAGATCCCACGTGGAGTAAAATTGATGCCCCCCAGGTGATAAGCAACATCAAGGCCCAGTCATGAGAAAGAAGCCTTCATGAACCTTAGATATTAGACCAGGCACTAACTGAATGCAGTCACATAACTGAGCCTAGCTAACACTGCAAAGAGCAAAAGAACTGCACAATCAATACACATAGTCATCATAATGAATTGTTGTCATTCTAAACCACTAAGTTATGAAGAAGTTTGTTACATAGTCATAGGTAACTGAGGAGAGTGGAAACGCAAAACTCTTTATGTGGTTTTGGGAAAAAATGTCATCTATATAAAGAAGCCTTAAAATTGACCTGCTATTTATAGAATTAATTTGGTTAAAATATGCTCCTTTAAGAGAAGATGTATATTCCTTTTGGCAAAATTAATTTGTGCCACTTGAAAAACCTGTGGAGAATATGAAACTGTGGTTAAGAAACTCTGACTCAAAAATGTACTATAGTTAAAAAAAAAAAAAAAAAACAAAAAACTCCTAGGAGGCATAAGTCAGCAAGATGGCAGAATAGGACTTTCTGGCACTCAGCCCACCACAGAAACATCAATTTGAACAACTGTCCACACACAAAAATATCTTCACAAGAGCTGAGAAAACCAGGTGAGAGATCATAGCACCAGATACAAAACAGAAATAAGAAAAGACACATTGAAGAGCATAGGAAGGACAGTTTTATACTACCCATGTCATCTCTCCCCCAAAACTCAGTCAACATAGTATGGAAAGAGATAGCTTTGCTTGGGAGAAGGAAATGAGCACTGGATTTGTCACAAACCCCAACACCAGACTCACTAAAACCCAATGCCAGGCAGGCCCCCAGAGCCCCAGACTCTAGGCTCCTCCACTGAGTCTCTGGGCATGCCCCAGTACCAGTTTGGAACAAACAGCCCCCGGCTCCAAGCCTGCCAAGTGGACTCAGGCTTCAGGCCTGTCACAGGCCAGTCTGCCCTAGCAACCCTGAGTTCTAAACCACTCCCAGCATTGAGTCGGCCCCCATTTCCTCAGGTTTCAGGCCGTCCTCAGCACCAGGCTGATCTCCACAGCCTAAGTCATGAGGCCAGCACCTATGGACAGTCTCCAGGCAGGATTTTGTGGATATAGGCTCCAAATTTACCCAACACCAGGCCAGGCCCTGTGGGCACAGTCTCAAGGCCTTCCCAGTGCCAAGTCAATCCCAATGAGCCCATCCTCCAGACCAGACCAGCAGACCAAGGGTATAGATCTGCTCAGTACTGTCCCAGTAGACCTCAGTGCTGGGTGGGCCCCCATGGAGACAGGCATCATGACTGTCACTATGGACCCAGGTTCCAGGATGGCCCCAAAACCCCAGAACTCAGGCTAGCCCACATGGACCTAATCTCCAAGCCGCTACTTGCACGCCCATCTTCTAGGCTAGCCTTTAGGGACCTAGGCTCCGGGGCAATCCATATGGTTAATATTGTTAAAATGTCCCTACTACCCAAAGGGATCTACAGATTCAACACCATCCCTGTCAAAATTCCAATGACATTTTTCACAGAAATAGAAAAACAATGTTAAAATTTACATAGAACCACAAAAGACCTCAAATAAAGAAAGCAATCTTGAGCAAAATGAACAAACCCAGAGACATCACACTACTTGATCTGAAATCTACTACAAAACTGTAATAATTGAAACAATATGATGCTGGCATAGAAACAGACATATTGACCAATGGAACAGAAAAGAGAGCCTGAAACAAATCTACACATTTATGGTCAATTGATTTTGAACAAAGATGCCTAGAAAACACAATGGGAAAATAAATGGTGCTGGGAAAACTGAATATCCACATGCAAAATAATAGAATTAGATCCTCAATTCATACCATATACAAAAATCAACTCAAAATGGATTAAGAACTGAAACATAAAACCTGAAACTATAAAATTACTAGAAGAAAACGTAGAAGGAAAGCTCTATGACATTGGTAATTTTTTGGAATTCAGGATGTATTTTTTATTTTTAAATATTGTGGGTGCATAGTAGGTGTATATATGGCATACATGAGATATTTTCATACAGGCATATCGTGTAATAATTACATCAGGATAAATGGGGTATCCATCATCTAAAATATTTATCCCTTCTTTGTGTTACAAACAGTCCAATTATACTTTTTTACTTATATTAAAATGTGCAATAAATTATTGTTGACTGTAGTCAGTCTGTTGTGTTATCAAATACTAGCTCTTACTCATTCTAACTATCTAACCATAATTTTGTAACCATTAACGATCACCACTTCTCCCCACCTCACCCCTCATACCCTTCCCACCTCTGGTAGCCATCATTCTACTCTCTATCTCCCTGAGTTCAGTTGTTTTCATTTTTAGCTCCCCAAAATGAGTAAGAACATGCAAAGTTTGTCTTTTTGTGCCTGGCTTATTCCACTTAACATAATATCCTCCAGTTACATCCATATTGTTGCAAATGACAGGATCTGATTCTTTTCATGGCTAAATTGTACTCCATTGTATATATGTATCACATTTTCTTTATCTATTCATCTGTTGATGGACACACACATTGTTTCCACATCTTGACTATTGTGAATAGTGTTGCAATATACATGAAAGTGCAGTTATCTCTTCTGTATACTGATTTCCTTCCATATGGATATACACCTAGCAGTGGGAATGCTGGATCATATGATAGTTCTATTTTTAGTATTCCGAGGAACTTCTACACTTTTCTCCATAGTGGCTGTATTAATTTACATCCCCTCCAACAGTGTGTGAGGGTTCTCTTTTCTCTGCATACTCACCAGCGTTCATTATTGCCTCTTTTTTGGATAAAAGCCATTCTAACTGGGGTGAGATGACATCTCATTGTAGTTTTGATTTGCATTTCTTTGATGATCAATGATGTTGAGCACCTTTTCATATACCTGTTTGCCATTTTATGTCTTCTTTTGTGAAATGTCTATTCAGATTTTTTGCCTATTTTAAAATCAGATATTTTTCCTATAGTTGTTCAAGCTCCTTATATATTCTGGTTACTAATCTCTTGCAGATGGGTAGTTTGCAAATATTTTCTCCCATTCTGTGGGTTGTCTCATCACTTCGCTGATTGTTTCCTTGATCATGAAGAAGATTTTAACTTAATGTGACCAAATTGACCCATTTTGGCTTTGGTTGCCTGTTCTTTTGGGGTACTACTCAGGAAATTATTGCCCAGACCAATATCCTGGAGTGTTTCCCCAATGTTTTCCTTCAGTAGTCTCATAGTTTGCAGCCTTAAATTTAAATCTTTAGTCCATTTTGTTTTGATTTTTGTATATGACAAGACATAGGGGTCTAGTTTTATTCTTCTGCATGTGGACATCCAGCACCATTTATTGAGAAGACTGTCCTTTTCCTAATACATGTTCTTGGCACCTTTTTGAAAACGAGTGTGCTGTATATGTACGCATTTCTTTTTGGGTTCTCTATCCTGTCACATCAGTCTATGTGCCTGTTTTTATGCCAGTGCCACGCTGTTTTGGTTATGTTTGGTTTTGTTTGTTGTTTGGTTAGCGTTGTAGTATAATTTGAAGTCAAGTATTGTGATTCCTCTACTTCTGTTCTTTTTGCTCAGGATAGCTTTGGCTATTCTGGGTATTTTGTGGTTCCATATAAATTTTAGGAATATAATTTTAGAAAACTTCTCTGAAGAATGACATTGGTATTTTGACAGGGCTTGCATAGAATCTGTAGATTACTTTGGGTAGTATAGATATTTTAACAATATAGATTCTTGTAATCCATGAATATGGGATATCTTTCCAATTTTAGTGTCCTTTTCAATGTATTATAGTTTTCATTGTAGAGATCTTTTACTTCTTCTGTTAAGTTTATTCCTAGGTATTTTATTTTATTTGTGACTATGATATATGGGATTACTTTCATGATTTCTTTTTCAGTTTGTTTGCTGATGGCATATAGAAATGCTGCCCATTTTTGTGTGTTGATTTTGTATCCTGCAACTGTACTGAATTTATCAGTTCTAATAGTTTTTTTGTGGAGCCTTTAGGTTTATCCAAATATAAGAACATATCCTCTGCAAACAAGGATAATTTGAGTTCTTCCTTTCCAATTTGGACGTAGTTTATTTATTTCTCTTGTCTGATTGCTCTAGCTAGGACTTCCAGTACTATGTTGAATAACAGTGATGAAAGTGGGCACCTTATCTTTTTCCAGATCTTAAAGAAGAGGCTTTCAGTTTTTCCCCATTCAGTACGATGCTAGCTGTGGATCTGTGATAACTGGCTTTTATTATGCTGAGATATGTTCCTTCTATACCCAGTTTTTTTAGTTTGTATCATGAAAGGATGTTGAATTTTATCAAATGCTTTTTTGGCATCAATTGAAATGATCATATGGTTTTTATCCTTCATTCTGTTGATATGCCATTTCACAGTGATTGATTTGCATATGCATCCCAGGGATAAATCCCACTTGGTCATGATGAACAATCTTTTTATTTTTGTTTCTGGTACCCAAGAATTTCCTCAATGGACCCATTAGTAAACTAAGCACTTTTGAGGACAAACTCAGTTAACTGGAAGATACGTTAATATAAATTATCTAAACTGAAAGACAGAGATAAAAACATGAAAAAATATGAAAGGTCATTCCAAAACTGTGGAACAGTATCAAATGCTCTAACCTCTAGTCCCAGAAAGAGAAGGGAGGAAAGGAGAGGACAAAAGAGGGAAGGGGAGGAAAAGAAAGAAGATGGAATAGTGTTAAACATATATGTGAAGATATAAGCCCTGATAGTTTTAATAAATAATGAACTATATTAAAATACTTATCCAAGAATCTCAGAGAACCCAAAGAAAAATAAATGTCAACAAAATCACACCTAGATACACCATGGTCAAACTGATGAAAACCAAAGATAAAAAGAAAGTTTTAAAACAATTATTTTTTTAAGTTGTGAGGTACATGTGCAGGATGTGCAGGCTTGTTACATAGGTAAACGTGTGCCATGGTGATTTGCTGCACAGATCAACCCATCACCTAGGTATTAAGCCAAGAATGCATTAACTCTTTTCCCTAATGCGCCACCCCCCCACTCTCCCCCAATAGGCCCCAGTGTGTGTTGTTCCCCTCCCTGTGTCCATGTGTCCTCCTTGTTCAGCTCCCTCTTATAAGTGAGAACATATGGTGTTTTTCTGTTTCTGCATTAGTTTGCTGAGGATAATAGCTTCCAGCTTCTTCCATGTCCCTGCAAAGACATGACCTTGTTCCTTTTTATGGCTGCATAGTATTCCGTGGTGTATATGTACCACATTTTCTTTATCCAGTCTATCATCGATGGGCATTTGGGTTGATTACATGTCTTTGCTATAGTGAATGGTGCTGCAATAAACATATGTATACACATATCTTTATAGTAGAATGCTTTATATTCCTTTGGGTATATACCCAGTAATGAGGTTGCTGGGTCAAATGGTATTTCTGGTTCTAAACTTTTGAGGAATCACCACACTGTCTTCCACAATGCTTGAACTAATTTACATTCCCTTCAACAGTGTAAAAGCATTCCCATTTCTCCACAACCTCACCAGCATCTGTTGTTTCTTGACTTTTTAATAATCCCCATTCTGACTGGCATGAGATGGTATCTCATTGTGGTTTTGATTTGCATCTCTCTAATGATCAGTGAATGTTGAGCTTTTTTTCATATGTTTGTTGACCACATATATGTCTTTTTGAGAAGTGTCTGTTCATGTCTTTTGCCCACTTTTTAATGGATTCATTTGTTCTTTTCTTGGAAATTTGCTTAAGTTCCTTGTAGATTCTGAATATTAGACCTTTCTCAGATGGATATATTGCAAAGTTTTTCTCCCATTCTGTAGGTTGTTTGTTTGCTCTGATGATAGCCTCTTTTACTGTGTAGCAGCTCTTTAGTTTAATTAGATCCCATTTGTCAATTTTTGCTTTTGTTGCCATTGCTTTTGACGATTTCATCATACAGTCTTTGCCCATGCCTATGTCCTGAATGGTATTGCCTAGGTTTTCTTCTAGGGCGTTTATAGTTTGGGGTTTTACTTTTAAGTCTTTAATCCATCTTGAGTTAATTTTTGTATAAGGTGTAAGGAAGGGGTCCAGTTTCACTTTTCTGCATATGGCTACCCAGTTCTCCCAGAACCAATTTGTTAAATAGGTAATCCTTTCCTCATTGCTTGTTTTTGTCAGGTTGTAGATGTGCAGTTTTATTTCTGACTTCTCTATTTTGTTCTGTTGGTCTATGTGCCTGTTTTTGTATCAGTACCATGCTTTTTTGGTTACTGTAGCCTTGTAGTATATTTTGAAGTCGGGTAGTGTGATGGTTCCAGCTTTGTTCTTTTTGCTTAGGATTGTCCTAGCTATAAAGCTCTTTTTTTTGTTTCATATGAATTTTAAAATAGATTTTTTCTAATTCTGTGAAGAATATCAATGGTAGGTTAATGTGAATAGCATTGAATCTATAAATTGCTTTGGGCAGTATGGCCATTTTCACAGTATTGATTCTTCCTATCCATGAGCATGGAATGTTTTTCCGTCTGCTTGTGTCCTCTCTGATTTCCTTGAGCACTGGTTTGTAGTTCTCCTTAAAGAGGTCCTTCACTTCCCTTGTTAGCTATATTCCTAGGTATTTTATTCTCTTTGTGGCCATTGTGAATGAGAGTTCATTCATGATTTGACTCTCTGTCTGTTGTTGGTGTATAGGAATGCCTGTGATTTCTGCACATCGGTTTTGTATCCTGAGACTTTGCTGAAGTTGCTTATCATCTTAAGAAGATTTGAGGCTGAGTTCATGGCATTTTCCAGATATAGAATCATGTCATCTGCAAACAAAGACAATTTGACTTCCTCTCTTCCTATTTGAATACCATTTATTTTTTTTTCCCTTGCCTAATTGCTTTGGCTAGAACTTCCAATACTATGTTGAATAAGAGTGGTGAGAGAGGGCATCCTTGTCTTGTGCTGGCTTTCAAGGGGAATGCTTCCAGCTTTTGCCCATTCAGTATGATATTGGCTGTGGGTTTGTCGTAAATGGCTCTTAGTATTTTAGATATGTTCCATGAATACCTAGTTTATTGTAAGTTTTTAACAAGAAGATATGTTGAATTTTATTGAAGGCCCTTTCTGCATCTATTGAGATAATCATGTGGTTTTTGTCTTTAGTTCTGTTTATATGATGAATTACCTTTATTGATTTGTGTATGTTGAACCAGCCTTGCATCCCAGGGATGAAGCCAACCTGATCATCATGGAGAAGCTTTTGATGTGCTGCTGAATTCAGTTTGCCAGTATTTTATTGAGAATTTTCACATTGATGTTCATCAGGAATATTAGCCTGAAGTTTTCTTTTCTTGTTGTATCTCTGCAAGGTTTTGGTATCAGGATGATGCTGGCCTCATAAAATGAGTTAGGGAGGACTTCCTCCTTTACAATTGCCTGGAATAGTTTCAGAAGAAATGGTACCAGCTCCTCTTTGTGCCTCTGGTAGAATTCACCTGTAAATCCATCTGGACCTGGGCTTTTTTTTTTTTTTTTTTTTTTTTTTTTTTGGTTGGTAGGCTATTTATTACTGCCTCAGTTTCAGAAATTGTTATTGGTCTATTCAGGGATTCAACTTCCTCCTGGTTCAGTCTTGGGAGGGTGTATGTGTTCAAGAATTTATCCATTTATTCTAGATTTTCCAGTTTTTTGCATAGAGGTGTTTATAGTATTCTCTGATGGTTGTTTGCATATCTGGAGGGTCAGTGGTGGTATTCCCTTTATCATTTCTGATTGTGTTTATTTGAATATTTTCTCTTTCCTTCTTTAGTCTAGCTAGCAATCTATTTTGTTAATTTTTTTCAAAAAAACAGCTCCTGGATTCGTTGATTTTTTAAAAGAGTTTTTTGTCTCTATCTCCTTCAGTTCCACTCTGAGCTTGGTTATTTCTTGTCTTCTTCTAGCTCTGGGATTTGTTTGTTCTTGGTTCTTTAGTTCTTTTAGTTGTGATGTTAGGGTGTCAATTTGTGATCTTTCTAGCTTTTTGATATGGGCATTTAGTGATATAAATTTTCCTCTTACCACTGCTTTAGCTGCATCTTAGAGATTCTGGTACATTGTATCTTTGTTCTCATTGGTTTCAAAGAACTTCTTAATTTCTGCCTTCACTGCATTATTTACCCAGAAGACATTCAGGAACAGGTTGTTCAATTTCCAGGTAGTTGTGTGGCTTTGAGTGGGTTTCTTAATCTTGAGTTCTAACTTGATTGCAGTGTGGTCTGAGAGACCATTTGTTATGATTTCAGTTCTGCATTTGCTGAGGCATGTTTTATGTCCAATTATGTGGTTAATTTTAGAGTAGGTGCCATGTGACACCGATAAAAATGGATATTCTGTTGTTTTGGAGTGGAGAGTTTTGTAGATATCTATTAGGTCTATTTGGTCCAGAGCTGACTTCAAGTCCTCAATATCTTTGTTAATCTTTTGTCTTGATGATCTGTCTAATACTGGCAGTGGTGTATTAATGTCTTCCACTATTATTGTGTGGGGTTCTAAGTCTCTTTGCAGGTCTTTAAGAACTTGTTTTATGAATCTGGGTGCTCCTGTATTGAGTACATATATATTTAGGATAGTTAGCTCTTCTTGTTGAATTGAAACTTTTACTGTTATGTAATGCCCTTCTTTGTCTTTTTTGACTTTTGTTGTTTTAAGGTTTACTTTTTCAGAAACTAGGATTGCAACTCCTGCTTTTTTCAGCTTTCCATTTTCTTGGTAAATTTTCCTCCATCTCTTTCTTTTGAGCCTATGTGAATCTTTGCACGTGAGACGAGTCTCTTGAATACGGCATACTGATGGGTCTTGTCTTTTTATCCAGCTTGCCATTTTGTGTCTTTTAATTGGGGGCATTTAGCCCATTAAGATTAATATTGTTATGTGTGAATTTGATCCTGTCATCATGATGCTGGCTGGTTAATTTTTCAGACTTGTTAATGTAGTTGCTTCATTGTGTTGTTGGTCTGTGTACTTCAGTGTGTTTTTGTAGAGGCTGGTAATGATTCTTCCTTTCCATGTTTAGTGCTTACTTCAGAAGCTCTTGTAAGGCAGACCTGGTGGTGAAGTCCCTCGGCATTTGCTTGTCTGAAAAGAACTTTATTTCTCCTTCACTTATGAAGCTTAGTTTGGCCAGATATGAAATTCTGGGTTGGAAATTCTTTTCTTTAAGAATGTTGAATATTGGCCCCCAATCTTTTCTGCCTTGTAGGGTTTCCACTGAGAGGTGTGCTTTTAATCTGATGGGATTACTTTTGTAGGTGATCTGGCCTTTCTCTCTGCCTGCCCTTAATATTTTTTTCTGTCATTTTGACCATGGCGAATCTGACGATTATGTGTTTTGGGGTAGATCTTTTAGGGTTCTCTGGGTTTCCTGAATTTCAATGTTGGCCTGTCTAGCTAGGTTGGGGAAGTTCTCCTGGATGATATCCTGAAGTGTGTTTTCCAACTTGATTCCATTCTCCCTGTCTCTTTCAGGCACTCTAATCAGTTGTAGGTTCGGTCGTTTTACATAGTCCCATAGTTCTAGGAGGTTTTTCTCATTCCTTTTCACTCTTTTTTCTCTAATCTTGTTGCCTGCCTTATTTCAGCAAGATAGTCTTCAAGCTCTGATATTTTCTCTTTTGCTCAGTCGATTCAGCTATTAATACTTGTGTTTGTATCATGAAGTTCTTGTGCTGTGTTTTTCAACTCTGTCAGGTCATTTATGTTCCTCTCTAAACTGGTTATTTTAGTTAACAGCTCCTGTAATCTTTTACCATGTTTTTAGCTACTTTGCATTGGGTTAGAACATAATCTTTTAGCTCAGTGAAGTTTGTTATTACCCACTTTCTGAAGCCTACTTCTGTCAGTTCATCCATCTCAGCTTCAGCCCTGTTCTGTCCCTTTGCTGGAGAAGTATCGTGATCATTTGGAGGAGAAGAAGCATCTGGCTTTTGGAATTTTCATCATTTTTGCATTGGTTTTTTCGTCATCTTTGTGGATTTATCTACCTTTTATCTTTGAGGCTGTTGACCTATGGATAGGGTTTTTGTGGAGTCTTTTTTGTTGATGTTGTTGTTGCTGCTTTCTGTTTGTTTTTCTTCTAACAGTCAGGCCCCTCTTCTGCAGGTCTACTGCAGTTTGCTGGGGGTCCACTCCAAACCCTGTTTGCCTGGGTATCACCAGTGAAGGCTGCAGAACAGTGAAGATTGCTTCCTGCTCCTTCCTCCAGAAGCTTTTTCACAGAGGGGCATCACCCTGATGCCAGCCAGAACTCTCCTGTATAAGGTGCCTGGTGACCCCTGTTGGGAGGTCTCACCCAGTCAGCAGGCCTGGGATCAGGGACCTGCTTAAGGAAGCAGGCTGGCTATCCCTTAGCATAGCTGGTACACTGTGCTGGGTGAATCCCCCTTGTCCGGATCACCCAAATTCTTCAGAGCCAGCAGGCAGGAAAGATTAAGTCCACTGAACCTGAGACTGCAGGCACCCCTCCCCACAGGGCTCTGTCGTAGGGAGATGAGAGTTCTGTCTATAAGCCCCTCACTGGAGTGCTGGAATTCCTGCAGGGAGGCCCTGCCCAGTGACGAGGAATGGATCCAAGTCCCACCTAAATAATCAGTCTGGCTACGATCTGCCACAGCCACTGTGCTGCACTGTGGGGAGTACCACCCAGTCCAAACTGCCCAGCCTTCCTAGCACTGGCAGGCGAAAACTGCTGATTAGAGCCACAGTGATGGTGGTTGCCCCTCCCCCCAGGAACTCCGTCATCTTAGGCCAACTCCAGGCTGCTGTGACTGGCCAGCAGGGATTCCAAGCCAGTGGGTCTTAGTTTGCAGGGTTCCATGGGAGTGGGTCCCACTGAGCAAGGTTGTTTGGCTCCCTGGTTTCAGCCCCCTTTCAAAAGGAGTGGAAGGTTCTCCTACCTCACAAGAGTTCCGAGAGCAACCGGAGTATGTAACAACTCCTGCTGCTCAGTGCTTCCCTGAACGGCTGCTGACTGGAGCAGCCGCCATGGGTCTGCCCAGTTTTGTGCTTGAGACCCAAGGCACTGGTGGTGTAGGCTTACGAGGGAATCTCCTGATGCATGGATTGCAAAAATCCGTAGGAAAAGCCTACTACCCCAGACGGGTAGCACATTCCCTCACTGCCTTCCTTGGCTGGGGGAGGGAGTTTCCTCCCAGGTGAACCGTTATTCCACCTGCTGCTTTTCCTTGCTCTTTGTGGGTCACACGAACCGCCTAGTCAGTCCCAATGAGATGAACTGGGTACCTCAGTTGGAAATGCAGAAATCACTCGCCTTTTGCATTCGTCTCAATGGGAGCTGCAGAACAGAGCTGTTTCTACTCAGCCATCTTGGCCCCTCCCCCCAAAAGAAAATTTTGAAAGAAGCCAGGGAAAAAACATACAGTATATACAGATGAACAAAGAAAAGGATTATACGGCCGGGCACAGTGGCTCACGCCTGTAATCCCAGCACTTTGGGAGGCCGAGGCGGGCGGATCACGAGGTCAGAAGATCGAGACCATCCTGGCTAACACAGTGAAACCCCATCTCTACTAAAAATGCAAAAAATTAGCCGGGCATGCTGGCGGGCACCTGTAGTCCCAGCTGCTCAGGAGGCTGAGGCAGGAGAATTACATGAACCCTGGAGGCGGAGCCTGCAGTGAGCCGAGATCGAGCCACTGCACTCCAGCCTGGGCGACAGAGCGAGACCTCGTCTCAAAAAAAAAAAAAAAAAAAAAGGATTATACAATATAATTCATCTAAAATTACAAAAGATAGAAGTTAATGGGATGACTTTAAAATACTGAAAGATGAAAAAAATTGTCAATTCAAAACTCTATTGCCAATGAAAATTTTTCTTAAGAAATAAAATTAAAATTAAAACTTTTTTGGACAATAAAAGCTGAGATAATTCACTGGTAACAGACCTGTACTATAAGAAATATTAAAGTAAGTTTTTTAGCTAACAGATGAAAAGTTGAATCTATATTTAAAAAGAGCACCAGAAATTATAAAAATCAAGGTAAATTTTAAAATATGTTTTTTCATATTTAATAAGGGATCTCAGAATATTTCTACTTTTTTTTATTTATTTAGGGAAGTCTATCATAAAGAAGTTATGGAAAATATTTATCCACAAAACTGTATTTATAACATTTACAGTAATAAAAAAGTAGAAACTATTCAAATATCCTATAATGTAGGAATTGTTAAGCAAGTTATAATAAATTCTTTCTCAGCACCATTTTAAGGCAAACATAAATGCTGATCATGAGGAATTGAGTAACAGAGGAAAAATATTATGACAATATTAATCAAAAATAAATAGGCACATAATTTTATGTAAAATATGCTTTTATTTACATGTAAGAATATTAAAAGTGATTATCTCTGAGTTTTGGTATCATTTAATTTTTGTCTTATTTAAGATTATCTGTATTATCCGTAGTTTTACAATAATATATTACTTTTGCTATCATACAAAGTATTTAATTGAATTGACTGCTTTTGCCCTTTGAAATACAAACATATAACTATCTGAATGTTAAAATCTTTAATATGTTTTATATATGCAATCTCTGTTCTGATTGGGAATCTTGCAGGAGATCTCAGTTTGTATGTCCAAAGCTAACCAAATTTAAATCACTCTGATGCTAGAATTCCCCTAAAGACAGAGACATCATTACTGAGTGTTACTGTTGGGGAGAACCTTTTTCCTGGAATCATTTAAGTTGAAAAAACATTCTATTAACTCATTCTTCATACCAGTAAAACCATAACCAAAAGAAAAACAAAATATATGCCTATGAAATATAATGTTAAAATAAAATAATAAAATCTGCTTATTTAAATCCACTTCACATCATCTTATATCATCAAAAGATTTGTTTTTTCTTTAGATGCTTTTCTACTTGTATCAGTGTGAGTGAGGCTAGTCCATTCCCCGGTATACATCTGTCTTTGTCCTGTTAGGCTTCTATAACAGAATATCATAGCCTGGGTGGTTTATATTTTTTAAAAAATTATTTCTCATATTTCTGGGGGCCAGGAGGTCCAAGATCAATGAGACAGCAGTTTCAGTGTCTGGTGAGGGCTCATGCTGTTCTCCTGGTAGTGAATAAGTCTCATGAGATCTGATGGTTTTATACACGGGAGTTCCTCTGCACAAGCTCTCTTGCCTTCCGCCATGTAAGATGAGTCTTTGCTTCTCCTTTGCCTTCCACCATGATTGTGGGACCTCCCCAGCCATGTGGAACTGTGAGTCTGTTAAACCTCTTTTTTGTTAGAAATTACCCAGCCTCAGGTATGTCTTTATTAACAGCATGAGAACAGACTAATAGAGGGCTGTAGTGCTGCAGCTGTCCACTTTCAGTTGGTGCCTACATACCATGCAGAGCCATCTGTAAACCAGGCCCTTGTCTTCTCTTCCTCTGTCAACTTATCATAAGGAACTCCCCACGAGGCCATCAGTGCAGGCTGAGGGAGAGAAGGCAGGGTGGCAGGAGTGGGGAACATGGGCATTTGAGCCACTTCCTCATGTAACTTACTTGTGTCCTCAGCACCTGCTCAAGCCCAAACATGTATATACCACTATCATTCAATGATGGAATGCTGCTGTGCACACCCCACTTTATGGCTAGATGGGTCAGAAAGCACCCCGTTCATGATAGGCAGTTCAGGTCACATGGTTACTTGATGACCCATAGTCAAACATTTAGTTTCTACCAAACCCCAGTAACAGGCCAAGAGCTGTCTCTCAAAAGGAGAGTAGTTATCTGCAGAAGATGGCAGGGCCTTGCTCCAAAATCCTAAAGACCTCCACTGTGATTCACCTATGGGGTCCTGCCAAAGGCTCCAAACAGCATCCCTATCTGCCACTGACACCTCAAGCACCATTGGATCTGCTGGGTCATATGGCCCAAGTGGCAAAGCAGCTTGCACAGCAGCCTGGACCTGTTGCAGAGCCTTCTCCTTTTCTGGACCCCACTCAAAACTGGCAGCCTGTTGGGTCACTTGATAAATGGGCCAGAGTAACACACCCAAATGAGGAACAAGTTGCCTCCAAAATCCAAATAGGCCCACTAGGTGTTGTGCCTTCTTCTTGGTTATAGGAGGGGCTAAATGCAGCAACTTATCCTTTGCCTTAGAAGGAATGTATCAACAGGTCCCACACCACTGAACCCATAGAAATTTTACTGAGATAGAAGGTCCCTGAATTTTGGCCGAATTTATTTCCCATCTTCTGGCATGCAAATGTCTTACCAATAAGTCCGGTGTGTTTGCTACTTCTCACTCACTAGATCCAATCAGCATAATGTCATCAATGTAATGGACCAGGGTGATATCTTGTGGAAGGAAAAAGTGACCAAGATCTCTGCGAACAACATCATGGCACAAAACCAGAGAGTTGATATGCCCCTGAGGTACGACAGTGAAGGTATATTGCCGGACTTCCCAGCTGAAAACGATTTGCTTCTGGTGGGGTTTGTGGACAGGAATGGAGAAAAAGGTATTTGTCAAGTCAATGACTGCCTACCAGGTACCAGGAGCTGTGTTACTTCGTTCAGGCAATGAAACCACATCTGGTACAGCAGCTGCAATTGGAGTCACCACTTGGTTAAGCTTACAGTAATCCACTGTCATTCTCCAAGATCCATCTGTCTCCTGCACAGGCCAAATAGGAGAGTTAAATGGGGATGTGGTGGGAATCACCACCCCTGCATCTTTCAAGTCCTTGATTTTGGCATTAATCTCTGCAGTCTCTCCAGGGATGCAATATTGTTTTTGATTTACTGTTTTTCTAGCTAGAGGCAGCTGTAATGGCTTCCATTGGTCCTTTCCCACCACAATAGCTCTCAGCCTACCAGTCAGGGAGCCAACGTGGGGATTCTGCCAGCTGTTTCTGAAAGGTCTGATCTTTCCCCTTTCCCCAATGCAGAGTTACCTTGGTAAAAGGCTGGAGGTCTCCTTGGGGAAGGATGGGAGAAAGATTAACAGCATAAATTGGTAGTGTAGAGGGGTTCTTCCTTAAGGGGACCCAGCCTCCCCTTCATTCAAGGGGTTCTGGGTCTGTAAACTGGTTCAAGTCTGAAAATTGATTGAAGGGCCATGATTGTCTGTTTTTATAATTCAAATTAGTCTTTTGTCCACTCGACCTGGAAGTTTTCTGCTTATATAAATTAAGTAAGAATGCAGTAGCCTTCCTATTAATTTCACTTCTAGGAACACTATGACTAATTAGCCAATGCCAGAGCTCTATTCGAGTCAGACTATTCTGATTGCTGCTTTGCCTCTGCTGTCCATTATGATAACTATGCCCACTTTCCCTTTAACGGTTGAGTGCTACCACTTGGCCCCTGCCACCTTGGGATCCAATTATTCCCAATGAATTTAAATTTTGTAATTGCGTGACTGCAATTACTACTGTTAGAGCTGGCATACAGAGAAGAGCAATCACAGAGCTCTTCAAGGACGCATGTGTTGCCCTCACAAATCTATTTCACAAAGTAATGGTGAAGGGTATGTCTTCTGGACCCTCCCCCACCACTGGGATGAGTAGGTCTAAAGTGACTAATCCACTCTAGCATTCCTGTCTCCCTAAGCCTTTGGATCCCTTCCTCTACATTAAACCAAGGGAGATCAGGCATTTCCACCTCAGTCACAGAAGGCCATCTTTTGATCCATGTTTCAGCTAACCAAGCAAATAAACTATTAGAACCTTTTGTAACTCCCCGAGCTACAATATTAAATGCAGAATCCCTGCCTCGTGGGCCCAAATCAACAAATTCAGTCTGATCCAACTTTATGTTCCTTCCACCATTATCCCACACCCTTAATATCAATTCCCATGTCTGTTCTCCAGATTTCTACTTAAATAAATTAGAAAACTCAAGCCATTCTTTTGGAATGTAGCACATCTCCTCGTGGGTCACACTCTGAGCCTCACCTCTAGGGATCTGCCAGGGCTTTAGTCTAGCTATAGGTCTAGAAGCAAACGGGGTGTCGGGGGTGGGTCCTGGGAAGAATCAACATTGTCTTGCTTGGCAACTGCCTCAGGGGAGGCCATCACTGTTGCCTCAGGCAGTGCAGGGTTAATATCCTGAGACAGAAGTGGAAAGGCTGATGGCAGTGTGGGTCTGGGAGGGGATGTTGCCACCACTGGGGATGGGGAAGCTGTTTCCTCTGGCAAAAATGGCTCATCAGAGTTTTCAAGCTCAGCATTCCCAGCTTCATCAAGGCCCTCCACGCATCCCCATTCCAAGTTGCAGGGTCTCATTCTTTTCCAATGAATGCCTTCACTTTAATAGTAAACACCTTGCAAAGCTGTGTGTGCACCTTTCATTGAAGGTCAGCCAATCGCATGATAAGAGCATGTGTCTGATTTTTCACAATTTCAGCTCTTTCTTTACAGGAGCTAAGTAAGACTCTAGCTCAGGGCAATCTTAGAAGATTTAAGGCTCTGTATGCACTTCTGGAGCCGAGAGTTAGAATCCCTGAGTTCATGGTTTTCTTTCGTTACTTTGTCCAGTGAACTTAGAAGCAACCAACCAACTTCATTATATTTCTTGGTTCTCCACATAAGGTCAAAGATATTGTGTATAGAGTCACTAAACTCCTTGCCTTTCATGATCGGTGAATAAGGAGTATCAAATGCATTTATTTTGCATAGCTCTCTAAACAGTTCATGCCAAGGACTATCAGTGTTCTTCATACTACTAGAAGTAGAGTCCTTAGCATTTTGGGGTCTAATCAGGTTAAGCAGCCAACTCCAGAAACCCCAAAACCAACGAAAGAACTCCATCCTTAAAAGTCTGTTCTTCTAGAAACACTCCCAGTATGAAAATCTGTATTAGTCAGGGTTCTCTAAAAGGAAATAACTAATAGGATTGATGAATATATGAAGGGGAGTTTATTAGGAGGATTGACTCACACTGTCACAAGATGAAGTCCCACAATAGGCCCTCTGCAAGCTGAGGAGCAAGGAAGCCAGTCTGAGTCCCAAAACCTCAAAAGTGGGGAAGCCGAAAGTGCAGCCTTCAGTCTGTGGCTGAAGGCCCAAGAGCCCCTAGCAAACCACTTGTGTAAATCCAAGAGTCCAAAAGCTGAAGAACTTGGAGTCCAATGTTTGAGGGCAGAAAGCATCCAGCAAGGGGAGAAAGATGAAGGCGGGAAGACTTAGCCAGTCTATTCCTCCCACATTCCTCGACCTGCTTTTATTCTAGCTACACTGGCAGCTGATTAGATGGTGCCCATGCAGATTGAGGGTGGGTCTGACTCTCCCAGTCCACTGACTCAAATGTTAATCTCCATTGGCAATAACCTCACAGACACACCCAGGAACAATACTTGGCATTCTTCAGTCCAATCAAGTTGACACTCAATATTAGCCATCACACATGGGGGTAGGAAAGAACAACACACACTGGGGCCTGTTAGAAAGCAGGGGGTGGGAGGAGGGAGAGAATCAGAAAGAATAGCTAATGGATGCTGGACTTAATACCTGAGTGATGGGATGATCTGTGCAGTAAACCACAATGGCACACATTTACCTATGTAACAAACCTGCGCATTCTGCACATATACCCCTGAACTTAAAATAAAAGTTGGAAATTAGAAAAAATTAAAATTATTTAAAAGAAAAAAATATGTTGAGAGCAGTGTCAACGTGAGATATTTCTGGCAGTATAAAATTAAACATGCTAGTAAAATAAATCAAAGCTTTATTTTTGAATGTACATTAGCAAGTATTAATTTTCATTTACTTAGTTAATAATCAATAAATAAAATAGAAGTTTCAAACATCTAACAAATAATTTTAAATACAGTCATCCCTTGCTAGCTAAGGCGGATTAGTTCCAAGACCTCCTGTGGATACCAAAATTTGTAGATGTTTAAGTCCTTTACATAAAATGGCATAATATCTGTGTATAACCTATACACATCTTCCAGTGTACTTTAAATCATCTCTAGATTACTTATAATACTTAATACACTGTGAATGCTATGTAAATAGTTGTTATATCATATTGTTATAGAATAATGTCAAAACAGTCTGTACATATTCAGTACAGACAAAATTTTTTTCAAGTATTTTTGATCCTCAATTGGTTGAATCAATGGATGTAGAACCCTCCAATAGGGAAGGCCAACTGTAATTAAATTTAATACTACTGGAGAGAGATGAGGATGGTGAGTAGTATTGAGAGCTGTTTTAAACAAAAAGAGTAGCAAGCTAAGGCAAAAGCATTGAGTAGAGGAGCTCCTCGGGGCATTCTCCAAAATTTCAACCTAGCATGGGAATTGACCTCTACTTTTTCAGACAGAGAGACATCCAAACAAGGAAGTGGCTATTTTGGAGTGACAGAGTTGTGGAACTCCAAAGGAACATCAACTGCCTTTAAAGATAACTCTAGCCTAAGGAAAAGTCTGCTGGTGGATTTCAGCACTACCCATTGACATTATAATCTTTTCTCAATGATCTACTTCCAAATAATCTCACATGTAGAAGGAAAGGAGCTCCAACATTAGTGGACAACTAAAAAATAGATCATAGCAGGATATCAACTTAGATTCAAATATCATGCCACTAAATTACCACTGTGTGATTCTGGCCAAGCTTCTTAATTTCTCTGAGCCTTAGTTTCCTCCTCTATAAAATATGCACAGTAGCAACAAACTCAGAAAGTTGTTGTAAGTATTACAGTAGATGTAATAATCCTAGTAAAATGTAGATTGTAGCAGGAGTGTAGTGAAATATAGATAGCATTATCCTTAACAGTTTTATTGTTAAAATATTGCATCATAGTTCTTTATTTTAGACTCTGCATGAGCCATTCTTTAGAGGTGCATAAAGCAGAGAGAAGATGCTCCTGCGATATAACAAGAAACAAAATCTCTGTTAATTTGTTATCCTGGGCATCTGCACTTATAAAACTACTTTAGGATTGGGAAGGGATTATTTCAAAGAAGAAAGTTTAGTGCACTACAAATTATTTTTAATAATAAAGGCCAAGAAATCATAGATTCTGTTTTTTTCTTCTTTAACATGTTAGTTTGAAGTAAGAGATTTTTCAAGCAAACTCTAATAAACAAGTAAAGGTAGAGAACTCCAATCCCACTGCTCATTTACATTCCTCAATTTCTGATTGAATCCTTCGCCAAGAGTCCCATAAATCTCCTGCAATGGGGGCTTCCTGTAGAGCACACTGTGTGACAAAATTAGAGGAGATGATTGCACATCGACATTAAAACAACATGAAGTAGAGATCTTCAACTCAACCAGGAAAAGGAGATTTTTAAGAAGTTGATTTTTTTTCAGGCACTGAGCCTCAGTTTGTGGATATTAAAATTATTTCACAGCAGCTGTTAAAAATGTAGTTCTGACTTGGTGGGGGTGGTGAATTACAAAATTAAAGAGATTGTAAAATGAGTTAGCATATTCCTTATTACTCCCATCCCCCACTACTCAGAATGAAGAGCAGAAGAGAAACATCATATGAAAAATCATTTCTGTACTTAATATAAATAACAATAATGAGAACGAGATGCTAGAAAAAATGAGACAGATTCCATACCAAACACAGCAAAAGGACAGGTACTCACATCTCACATTGCATATTTGTTTGATACAGTACTGTTTCTGCACAGTACTAAAAGGTTCTAGATAGCGCAACAATGCTCCTCAATTTTTCTGTATGCCTTACACCTGTGAGATACAGGGAAGAGATAAAAAGTATACTAAAAACTTTTCTAATTTTAATTTACTCACACGACAGTAATTTTTCCTAGTGATACTTAGATAAAAGAAAAAAAATTTCTCATATGTGGAAATGTCATAGCATAAATGTGCAGTCATGCTACCATTGTATAGACATTTTACCCAAAGGTAGTGGATGGAAATCCCACTGTTTTTTGGGGCCCAAAATAACATTCTTTTGTTCCCCCCATAAATAAGTAAATGGCCTTTCCATGGCCCATAAGGGGTTTCTCTAATTCTCTGTTGCTACTTTCAAAAACAAAGTCTTTATGCCTGCTTCTGACATTTGTATATATAAATACATTGTTTTGATTTTGGCTTTTAAATTGGTCTTGTCTGACTTGTAACAACTTCTATTAGCACTGAGCTGTTAGTATGAAGGTCAGTAAATTCCCTTAAAACGAAGAATGCAATGAAAGGCTCAAGGTTTATAGATTTATATTTATAACTCCTATAGAAATGTCCTCTGTGGTGATCAAGGTTTATTGATTTATATTCATAATTCATATAGAAATGTCCTCTGTGGTAACCAATATAGTTTAGTGTAAGAATGATGTAGAAAATTGAAAGCTGTTCACCAAACCTCTTTTCTCTTCTTCCTGAACACTTAACTAGAACTAACTTTTCCCAACCCCTGATAAGACCACGTGACTTTTAGCCAGTGTAGTATGAGCAGAATTGACATACACAACCTCCTGCATTGCCCATTTAAAAAACCTCACTGTGCTATCCTCCATGTTCTTTCCTCGTCTCCTGGCTTGATGCAAATGAGTATAGGAACTTCAGAAGCAGTGTGGACTACTGGCTAGCCAGGAGCACCATGTTGGACTATTCCATGAGCAAGAAATAATTTCCATATTAAGAGTTGAGGGTTCCTTTGTTACAGAAGCTAGCTTTATCCCAACCAGTGCAGTTGACAGCTTTTGCCCATTGTATTTCTCCTTCACTCTATGTCATTAGTTCTCAAACAGGGACAATGTTGCCCCATAAGGAACAGTTGGCAATGTCTAGAGACAGTTTTGGTTGTCACAACTGAGAGGTGCTACTGGCGTCTAGTAGGTGGAGGTCAAGGATGCTGCTAAATATTCTACAATGCACAGGACAGCCCCCATAACAAATAATTATCTAGTCTGAAATATCAATAGCCTTAGCTGAGAAACCCTGCTCTAAGCTTAGATGGGGCCATAATATCCTTCTCAACAATCCGTCTATGGTTCAGCAAATGTTTTTCTTCGACTTTCTTCTTTAAGTGTCCTGTTTTTATAAATAATTAAAAAATGATTTTATTGCTGGCTTCCTATAGCAAAATAAAAAATTTGTGCAAGGATATGGACTGTTTCCCAGCCTCTGTGCAACCCCCCTCAGTCCACGCTGTCACACACTTGCAAACTCCATAGGAAAGTAGAAAGTTTGTTTTCTTTTTTTGTCACTGTATCTTCAGACCCTAGAACAATGCCTGCTACATATAAGAAACAGAATCAATACTTTTGAGTGAATAATTGTGTTTCAGAAACCACAGAAAGTTGGGGAAACTGAACATCTAAGGAGAAATTTCCCCATTTCAAGGGCAGCAACTACTCAGATCTTGCAGTTGTTGCCTGGAGAAGGAAAGCTGGGTTAGCTGATTTTATGTAAACTCTCCCAATTTTAAAATATTGTAATTGACTTTAAAAACTTACAAACATTGTACAGGTACTACTGTTTATACCAGGCAGTATACAACTGTGAGGCTCATTTGGCTCTAGGTATTTCACCTGGCACTCAGTTAATACTATTATGAATCACAGCAGCTATCATCATTGGGTGCTAACTCTGTGCCAGGGACTGTATCAGCTTTTTCAGCATAAAAATTACCCCAATGGCTTAAAACAATAATTTTTAATTTATCTCAAAATTTGAGTTGGCAACAGACACTGAGCTTAACTGGACATTTCTGGTCTTAGCTGGCTCTACAATCAACTTTCAGTCAGCTAATTGGTTATGCTCTGGGGGATTGGCTGGCTGTCCTATCAGATGTTTGGGGCAACAGAGCCATATGCTTGTTATCTTCCAGCAGGCTAGCCTGAGCTTGTTTACATGGCAGCAGCAGTGTTGTAAGAGAGCAAAAGGAGATGTGCAAGGCCTCTTAAAGCATACATGCAGAACACTTCTGTTGCATTCCATTGTCCAAAGCAGGTAAAAAGACAAGTCCAGGCTCAAAGGGTAAAGAGATAAACTTCACCTTTTGATATAAGAAACTACAAAGTCACATTGCAATGAGGCATGGATACAAAGAAAGGGAGAATTGAAGTCATGTATGCATAAACTCTACCAAGATGCTATTTAATTGCTTTATACTGATGTCATTGAATCTTTATTACACTCTTGAGAGGCAAGTTGTCTTACTTCAGGCCACTGTAACAGAATACCATAGACTGGGTAACATAAACAATAGAAAATTTATTTCTCGGCCAGGCGCAGTGGCTCATGCCTGTAATGCCAGCACCTTGGGAGGCCGAGGCGGGCAGATCACAAGGTCAGGAGATCGATACCATCCTGGCTAACATGGTGAAACCCTGTCTCTACTAAAAATACAAAAATGGCCAGTCATGGTGGTGAGTGCCTGTAGTCCCAGCTACTCAGGAGGCTGAGGCAGGAGAATCACTTGAACCTGGGAGACGGAGATTGCAGTGAGCCGAGATTGCACCACTGTACTCCAGGCTGGCAACAGAATGAGACTTTGAAAAAAAAAAAGAAGAAAAAGAAAGAGAAATTTATTTCTCACAATTCTGGGTAAGAAGTCCAAGACCAGGGTGCCAGCATGGTCTAGTTCTGGTGAAGGACCTCTTCTGGATTGCAGACAGCTGACTTCTTCCTGTGTCTCACATGGTGAAAAGAGAGCAAATTAGCTCTGGCCTCCTCTTATAAGGTCACTAATCCCATTCATGAGGGTTCCACCCTCATGACCTAATTGCCTCCCGAAGGCCAAACCTCCAAATGTCATTACATTGAGGATTACAGTTTGACATATGAGTTCTTGAGGGGGCAAGAACATTTAGTCCATAGCACAAGTATTACTTCACACATTTTAAAGATGAGAAAGCTGAGACTCCAAATGTTAAATAATTTCTCAAATATTCACAGCTAAATCTTGAACTGAGATCAAAGACATGCAAATAATTACATGTAAGGGATCTCTGACCAATTCTCTTGAGGCTTATGGCCCTCCCATACTCTTCTCCTACTCTACTGCCACCATCTCATACCCCACCCCATTCTCAAAGAGCAGAATGAAGGTCTTGTTCTCTGCCTAGAGATTGAGCCCGTGGTAACTACTGTCCTACTTAGTGTATTAGTCCATTTTCACACTGCTATAAAGACACTGCCTGAGACTGCATAATTTATAAACAAAAGAGGTTTAATTGACTCACAGTTCCACATTTCTGGGGTGGCCTCAGAAAACTTACAATCATGGCAGAAGGCGAAGGGGAAGCAAGGCACATCTTACATGGTGGCAGGAGAGAGAGAAAAAGAGCACAGGGGAAACTGCCACTTTTAAACAATCAGATCTCATGAGAACTCCCTCAATATCATGAGAACAGCATGGCAGAAACCAGCCCCATGATCCAATCACCTCTCACCAGGTCCCTCCTTTGACACCTGGGAATTACAATTCAAGATGAGATTTCAGGGGACACAGAGCCAAACCATATCATTCTGCCCCTGGTCCCTCCCAATCTCATGTCCTTTTTACATTTCAAAACAAATCATGCCTTCCCAACAGTCCCCCAGAGACTTAACTCATTCTAGCATTAACCCAAAAGTCCAAGTCCAAGGTCTCATCTGAGACAAGGCAAATCCCTTCTACCTGTGAGCCTGTAAAATCAAAAATAAGTTAGTTGCTTCCAAGATACATTGGAGGAACAGGCATGGGGTAAATGTTCCTGTTCCAAATGGGAGAAATTGGCCAAAACAAAGGGGCCACAGGCCCCATGCAAGTCCAAAACCCAGCAGGGCATTTATTAAATCTTAAAGCTCCAAAATAATCTCCTTTGACTCCATGTCTCACATCTGGGCCATGCTAATGCAAGGGGTGGGCTCCCATGGCCTTGGACAGCTCCACTCCTCTGGTTCTGCAGGGTACAGCCCCCATGGCATTGTATCCCTGTGTTGTAAGCTGTCGTGGATCTACCATTCAGGGGTCTGGAGGATGGTGGCTCTCTTCTTACGGCTCCAATAGGCAGTGGGGACTCTGTGGGGGGCTTCTACCTCACATTTCTCCTCTGCATGGCCCTAGTAGAGGTTTTCCATGAGGGCTCTGCTCCTGCAGCAGACTTCTGCCTGGACATCCAGGCATTTCCATACATCCTCTGAAATCTAGGCAGAGGCTCCCAGAGCTCAACTCTTGTCTTCCATGTTCCTGCAGGCCTAACACCATGTGGAAGCTGCCAAGGCTTGTGGCTTTCCCCCTCCAAAGCCATGACCTGAGGTGTACCTTGCCCCTTTTAGCCACAGCTGGAGCTGGTGCTGCCGGGATGAAGGGTGCCATGTCCCAAGGCTGCACAGGGCAGTGGCCCCGCCCATGAAACCATTTTTCCCTCCTAGGCCTCCAGGCCTGTGATGAGAGGGACTGCTGCCAAGATCTCTGACAGACATGCCCTGGAGAGATTTTCCCAATTGTTTTGGTTATTATTATAACATTCAGCTCCTTGTTACTTGTGCAAATTTCTGTAGCCGGCTTGAATTCCTTCCCAGTAAATGGGTTTTTCTTTTCCACTTTATGGTCAGGCTGCAAATTTTCCAAACTTTTATGTTATGCTTCCCTTTTAAATAAAAATTCCAGTTTCAGATAATCTCTTTGTGAATGCATATGACTGAATGCTTTCAGAATCATCCAGGTCACATGTGAACACTTTGCTGCTTAGAAATTTCTTTGGCCAGATACCTTAAATCATCTCTCTCAAGTTCAAAGTTCCACAGATCACTAGGGCAGGAGCAAATGCTGCCAGTCTCTTTGCTAAAGCATAGCATGAGTGACTTTTACTCTAATTCCTAATAAGTTCCTCATCTCCATCTGAGACCACCTCTGCCTGGACTTCATTGTCTGTATCACTATCAGCATTTTGGTCAAAACCATTCAACAAGGCTCTTGAAAGTTCCAAACTTTCCCACATCTTCCTTCTTCTTCTGAGCTCTCCAAACTGTTCCAACCTCTGCCTGTTACTCAATTCCAAAGTGACTTCTACATTTTCAGGTGATCTTTATAGCAGTACCCCACTCCCAGTACCAGTTGTCTGTGTTAGTCCATTTTCACACTGCTATAAAGATACTACCTGAGCCATGCTGTTTTGGTTACTGTAGCCTTGTAGTATAGTTTGAAGTCAGGTAGCGTGATGCCTCCAGCTTTGTGATTTTGGCTTAGGATTGACTTAGCAGTGTGGGCTCTTTTTTGGTTCCACATGAACTTTAAAGTAGTTTTTTCCAATTCTGTGAAGAAAGTCATTGGTAGCTTGATAGGGATGGCATTGAATCTATAAATTACCTTGGGCAGTATGGCCATTTTCACGATATTGATTCTTCCTACCCGTGAGCATGGAATGTTCTTCCATTTGTTTGTATCTTCTTTTATTTCATTGAGCAGTGGTTTGTAGTTCTCCTTGAAGAGGTCTTTCACATCCCTTGTAAGTTGGATTCCTAGGTATTCTATTCTCTTTGAAGCAATTGTGAATGGGAGTTCACTCATGATTTGGCTCTCTGTTTGTCTGTTATTGGTGTATAAGAATGCTTGTGATTTTTGCACATTGATTTTGTATCCTGAGACTTTGCTGAAGTTGCTTATCAGCTTAAGGAGATTTTGGGCTGAGACGATGGAGTTTTCTAGATATACAATCATGTCATCTGCAAACAGGGACAATTTGACTTCCCCTTTTCCTAATTGAATACCCTTTATTTCTTTCTCCTGCCTAATTGCCCTGGCCAGAACTTCCAACACTATGTTGACTAGGAGTGGTGAGAGAGGGCATCCCTGTCTTGTGTCAGTTTTCAAACGGAATGCTTCCAATGCTTCCAGTTTTTGCTCATTCAGTATGACAAGTGGGCAAAGGATATGAACAGACACTTCTCAAAAGAAGACATTTATGCAGCCAAAAGACACATTAAAAAATGCTCATCATCACTGGCCATCAGAGAAATGCAAATCAAAACCACAATGAGATAACATCTCACACCAGTTCTAATGGTGATCATTAAAAAGTCAGGAAACAACAGGTGCTGGAGAGGATGTGGAGAAATAGGAACACTTTTACACTGTTGGTGGGACTGTAAACTAGTTCAACCATTGTGGAAGACAGTGTGGTGATTCCTCAGGGATCTAGAACTAGAAATACCATTTGACCCAGCCATCGCATTACTGGGTATATATCCAAAAGATTATAAATCATGATGCTATAAAGACATATGCACACATATGTTTATTGCGGCACTATTCACAATAGCAAAGACTTGGACCCAACCCAAATGTCCAACAATGATAGACTGGATTAAGAAAATGTGGCATATATACACCATGGAATACCATGCAGCCATAAAAAATGATGAGTTCATGTCCTTTGTAGGGACATGGATGAAGCTGGAAACCATCATTCTCAGCAAACTATCGCAAGGACAAAAAAGCAAACACCACATGTTCTCACTCATAGGTGGGAATTGACTAATGAGAACACATGGACACAGGATGGGGAACATCACACTCTGGGGCCTGTTGTGGGGTGGGGGGAGCGGGGAGGGATATCATTAGGAGATATACCTAATGTAAATGACGATTTAATGGGTGCAGCACACCAACATGGCACATGTATACATATGTAACAAACCTGCACGTTGTGCACATGTACCCCAGAACTTAAAGTATAATAATAAAAAAAAGATACTACCTGAGACTGCACAATTTATAAACAAAAGAGGTTTAATTGACTCACAGATCCACATAGCTGGGGAGACCTCAGGAAACTTACAATCATGGTGGAAGCCAAAGAGGAAGCAAGGCACATCTGACATGGTGGCAGGAGAGAGAGAGAGAAAGAGAGCGGAGGGGAAACTGCCATTTTTTAAGCCATCAGATCTTGTGAGAACTCCCTGACTATCACGATGGCAGCATGGGGGAAACTGCCCCCAAGATCCAATCACCTCCCACCAGGTCCCTCCCTCAACACCTGGGAATTACAATTTGAGATAAGATTTGGGTGGCGACACACGGCCAAACCATATCACTTGGATTTCAGAAGATTGTTAATGCTGGATTCCTCTTCACTGTGCCTCAGAAATCTGTCAGCTCCTCTCCTTCCTCCATGGTTCTCATGTCAGGCAGGGACTACCATCTACTGTCTCTTAGCCACCCTCTAGTTCTGGAGCTCACCTGTCGGTGTACTTTCTTCTTTAGTCCTCACCACAGTCCACTGGACAGATCTAGCTCTACTTCCCTGTCCCAAACCCTTACCATGCTACTTTCCCCTGTAGCTGACCAGTAAACATACATCTGTGCCCAAAACACAGCCAAATTGAGCTCCCATTGAAAAGTTTAGGGCAAATGCCTATGAATATTTCTAAAAGGGGCCTCTATCTGCTGTCCTGTAGATTTGGGAGGTTTGGAAGTCCTTCCTTTATAAGCATCGTGAAAGGCCAATCCCATCCACAGTCTACGTATCACAGAGGCTGAAAATTCCTAATGTCTTTGGAGGGCTACAAGTGTATTTGATGAATGCCTAGGGAATTAGTTTCAAGAATCCTGGGTTGCTGAATGGTAACCCTGTGTATGTTGGAAAAGCATGACTGGTTTGCAAACTGCTGGGGACAAATGCCTTGTTTTTCTTCTGGCTGGGTTTTGAATAGAGAGTAGGAGGTTGGGCGGGGACTGAGGGGGAGTTGAGCAAGAACAGGCATTGTTGTGTAGGGTTGTGGATGCCCTTACATGAAGTCTGAAACAAAAACCAGAGCCTCATTCGGCAAACAGCTTTTAGGATGAGTCATGGTGAGGGAAGTGGGGCTGGGTGTCCACCCTTTGTGCTGCCTGGGATCACAGCAAATATTCAAATGGTCGGGAAAGTAGAGTGGGTGGGAAACAAGAAGAGGCTAAGAGAGAGATGAGTTACAGGCTTCACTAACTTTAAAAGAAATTTTAAAAAGGAGATCCTTTGTTCAACATTATTAGTTTTAACCAGAGAAATGGCCTTTGATTTTAGGAAGCCCTTAGAAACCCAGGGGTTCGAAAGCTGTAAGAAGCCTAAGTTGAATCCTCTACCTCAGTGGTTCTCAGGCTTGGCTACATATTAGAAACACTTGGAAATTAAAAAGCCCAATGCTCACATTGCTCTCTAGACCAATTACATCAGAATCTGTGGGAGTGGATCCCAGGCATCAGTATTTTCTAAAGCATCCCAAGTAATTCCAATGTGCAACCAGGGTTGAGAATCACTCTTCTAAGTAAAACTGTATGAATAGTAGCTATATGATAAGATCCATGCCACATATGGAAACCATATAGAGTGACATGTAGTCAGAATCTTCATGAAAAAGAGACCAATATCATAAAGTGCAACCTGTTCCCCTTCTGACAAATTATTGTTCAATTTGGTTTTATATTTTAGGCTATTTTCAAATGGAAAATGATGCAATTTTTTTATGTTCACATTATCCTAGGAATATAATACATCTTTGTTTGGTACTCCTAAACTTACTGTTTCAGCTTCTGTTTTCAGCATTTAATCCATTAAAACAAAAGAAATAAAAGGAAAGAAAAGTTCAAAAGCAGCTTCCTATCTTGCTAGTAGGTTTTATCATAAAATATTCTGGTTTCTATGGATTCAGTATTAAAAATACATGGAACATCCCCTTCCAATGCTTTTCTTCACAATTCTGAAATCTGACTTAAAACTACAATGAATAATTTAATGGATTGTCCTAGAAATAACTTCACCATTTGATAGGATTTTGTTGTACCATAACATCTAATGACAAAACAACAATGAACATCTTTGATTTCAAGAAGAGGCTGAACATACAGGGCATGGTTCATTTGATGTCTATTTTTTATTCAAATGTAATCTAATCTCAATAGGGTCTAGACTGAGCTTGTGGCTTAATTCAGCAGTATTTTTACTATTATTCCTATTATACAGTTCTTCCAATTATTCTTCCTTTGAAGCAATTTAGACTATTACAACTAGTTGCTATTATTATCATTATAAAAATGATGGCAATAATCCACTGAATCTACCCTTATCCCAGGTGAAAAAGAAAACTTAGAGTTTACTGGTTAATGAGAAATTTGAGTATGATTTGAATATCAGATCTTGTAGGACAACCCCTGACTCTGTGATAGCAGAGCTTATCTGTATCTATACCTATTATATCTACATCTATTTCATTGATGCCTATACCTATATCTATTTTAAATATATATTATATACATGTGCATTTTATAAATTTAGTTTTCATTTTCCACTGGCTCAGAAGTTATACATTTTTATCTCCATTCCTTAATATTTTAACACACGTTGTTTACAAAGACTAAATTTAATATCTCATTTTGTAGAAGATCATTTTAATTCCATTCAACTCTTATCTTCTTACATGTTATTTTCCAAAGTATTTTAGTTTTATTTGGTTTTAATTCCCAAAGTAGTTCTAATTATGAACTCTACATGCCCCTCTACTTCCACAGGTAACTGACCCCTCCAATTCAGGGTTCTGTGATAAAAATCAGATTTCTCAAGGCTCAAGATTCAGCTCTCCTAGGTCTACTAAATAAGTTAATATTTATTCCTCTGCTTTCTTTCCATCTTCCATAATTGCTATCTCTATTCTTTGTTTGCATTGTCCTTATGCACTCAAGTATTTAAAAAAATTCTTTATATTTGTTTTAGTGGAGTTTCAGGAGGCTGTAGAAGTAAATCAGTGTGTTCAACTTGGACAAGTCAGGATGTATTCAAGTTAAGGCTATCATTATTCAATGATTGTTTTCCAGCATACCCATATGTCTTCCAATTCCTTTGCTCACTATTCTTTTTGCATTCAGTCCTTTCTTTGAGATGATTGTCCTTCTTAAAGCATGTGCTTTAGAAGTTCTTTTAATAAAGGTTTTTTGTTGGTAAGCTCTCAGGTTTGTCTGAAAAAATATTTAGTTCACTTTTTTTTCTTAAAAAATCATGTATCATATGTTACAATTCCAGATTGACAGTTATTTTTTCTCAGCATACAGATCTTAATCCATTGTTATTGTTGAAAATATGTAAGGTCTTATTCTATTCTCTATTTCTCGGTCTTTTTTATGTTTGCCATGTCTACATCTCTATGCTACACCTCGATAATTCTTCCTTGTCTCTCTTCAGCTGAATCTGTTCTACCATTTAAACCATCCACTGAGTTTTGTTTATTTCAGCAACTATATTTTTTATTCCTCCAAGTAACATTTAGGTGTTGTTAATCTGTGTGGGAATATTTTATACTGGGCCGTGTTATCACGTCTATTTTCTCATTCTTTAATCACTTTAAATGTACTTATTTTGTGGTATATGGCTAGTAATTCTATCTCATTTTTGGGGGGTTCTAATTCTGCTGATTCTTACTCATAGCAGTTTTTTTCCCTAGGCATTTTCTAACTTTGGATTGTGAGCTTCTATTTTATTGGATTTTATCTAAGAGAATTCTGTGAAGACTGAAGTGTGACCCTTCTGAAAAGGTTTACATTTTCTTCTGCCAAGCAAACTCAGAATCACTTAAATTTCTTAGATGTATTTGGGACTTCCTAAAATACGTAACTTGTATAAATTCAAACTCCAATTCTGAAAGAAACAAATCTATGCTCTCAAATTCTCAAGGAAGAGGGTTTTTTGACTTTTTTTTTAAAATCCAGAGCCCAAGTCAGTTTCACTGTAAACAGATTTCTTTGTCATCTTCTTTTGCTGGTAGATATTTGTTTCCATTTCACCCCTTCCTTTATCGTGTACTTTTAAAAAGAATTATTGAGGATTATCAATTCAGGTCCCAAAAGGCGTCTCAGGTAGCCAGAGCTTCAGCTTCAGCATCAGTTTCCCACTCTAGTTTCTGGTTATCACTGAGTTTTTTGTCTTATGAGGTTTTTGTTACTTTCTAGTGGACTCAACTATGCATTTAAAACAATGTTTTCTCCCAGCATGTCAAGATATTTTATTTTAGGTAGTTTTCATTAAATTTTTTTCAAGTTAGCTGCTTTGTTGCGTTGTCAGAAGTAGAAACAATGATATGCCTTGGTTAAGACAAGGGAAGACAAGAAAATTGGTGATATAGATAAGAAGTTGAAGCTAGAAAATTGGGTGAGATCTGGAAAAGTTGCTTAGAAAGGAATAAAAGAATGGCTGCTGAGAAAACACTAGACAAACCCAACTTGAGGGACAGTCTATAAAATAGCTTTCCTATACTCTTCCAAAGTGCTCGGGTCAAAAATACAAAGTAAAACAGAAAAACTATACCAGTTAAAAGAAATTAGAGGCATAATGGTTAATATAACACATGATTTAGTTCGAGATCCTACACTGGAAAAACATAGCTATAAAGAACATTATTGGAATAACTGATAAAATTTGGATATGAGCTTTGGATAGAAAATATTATTACGTTAATGTTGAATGTCCTAATTTTGATAACTATGGTATAGTTATGTAAAAGAAGGAATTAGTTCTTAGAACATACATTCTGAAGTATATAGGGGTAAAGGGGCACATTGTCTTTAACTTACTATTAAATGGTTCAAAAAATAATACTATGCACACACACATACGCAGGGAGAGAGAGAGAGAGAAAGACAAAGACACAGAGAGAGAGAGACAGTGATAAAACAAATGGAGCAAAATGCAAATAATTGGTGAATCTTGACTAAGGGTATATGGAAATTCCTTGTATGATTTTTGCAACTTTTCTGTTTAGGTTTAAATTTATATGAAAATAAAAAGTTTTTAGACAATGAAGAAGAGCTAATAAAGCACTTTGGAGAATGCCTACCTTTAGGAGAAGAGAGAAGGAAAAGAAACAGTTGAAGGAGGCAAAGAAGAACAAGTTATTGATGTAGGAGGATAACTGAGCAAACATATTTGACCAAAGTCAGCCAGATGTCTCACGTTGTTCAGGACAGCATCTACCCTCTGTGTACCTACAGTAAGGTTCACAGGTACATAAGAAAATATTTCAGAACAAAGGGAGTCTCCCCGCTATCCCTGCGAACAAATGGCATAGTCACTTGGCAAATTACCTAAACTAAGTGGTGATGTGACTCATTGAATCACTTGGTAAGTATATTATCCTCATTTTAAAAAGAAATCACTTCTTCATTTGCCATATTAAATTAGTATCTGCAGAGTAGCTATAGTCTGAACAGCAGGATCTGACACTTCTCCTTTTGAAAGCACTGAATAGCGCTATATTTTTTACCCAGAATAGTTTGTGATTATATTTGAAAATTTCATAATTACATTCTATTAATTAGAATTATCCTTTTCCTTATAAGATTTAGGGTTTCCAAATTTAAGGCACAGTATCCATATCAAACTTTAAGTTGAGTTATGTTAAAATTATGGAATATATAATTTAATTTTATGATATCATGCAGCAGCTATTTTATATCACTCTGTAGAGATTACTTTAGTATTTTTGTTGAAAAGACAATGATTTTGTTGAACAGCTGGGAGATAAATGATCATGACTTCTTTCTTTAGTACTATAATTAAGATGTTTAAATAACCAGCACTCCCTGCTGCTTTAGAGATGGTGTGAAAAGTTGGGGGAGGGAAGACTTGATAGAATTCTGCCTGTGAAGGAAAAGCCCACTTAGAATATTTTAAATCCTCACAAATAACTTTATTTAAAAATTTAAGATATAATTAATTACCATGGTCAAATAAGTGTTGTAAGTCAATATATATCTGTAAAATGATCATATATGTATATTTAAAGTTAGTTAATGCTTTAGCTCAGCTATTGGCAAATTTTTTCTCTAAAGGGTTATAAAGTAAAGATTTTCAACTTTGCAGGCCATACAATCTTTGTTGCAATTAGTTGACCCTGCTGTTGTAATATGAAAGCAGCCATAGATGATATTTAAATGAATGGGCCTGGCCATGTTCTAACAAACTTTAAAGAAACAAGCTATTAGCTGGATTTGGCCTGTGAGCCATAGTTTGATATTCCCTGCTTTAACTTATAGCTATTTTACGATGGATTAATCAGGCTTATCTCAAGTAGAATTCAGTACATGAAAGGGAAAAATTTGCAAAAATTTTTCAGCTTTGGAGAAAATTGCGCTGTTTACTCCTGTTCCCCAGTATTATGTGTCAAGGGCAAAAATCAGGAACACCAACTGTTAAAACTCAAACAACAGAAAACAATCTGTCTGTGACAATTAAGAAAACCGAAATGGGAGAAAGTCCAAAACAAAGGAAAACCAAAAATCTAGTTTCTACTAAGAAACTATAAAAGATAATCTCATTTTTCTGTATCTTCTAACTATCCCCAGCCTTCATGACCTTCCTTTACCTGCAAGGGGGTGATTAAGGAATTTAAAGAGGTCAGTTCTTGGGCTCCAAATTATTTTGGGACTGAAGAGGTTTATTATAGAATGAATGAAGTAATGAATGAATTAATCTATATATTTGGTAGTACATCTTCCAACTCAGAAGTTCCTTTTCACAAACTTGTGAGTTTGACATACAGCATTATTAGCTCTCCTTCAATAAAAAATGTTTTCAGCCAAATTATACATAAACTTCTTCACTTTGATGGTATCTTCAACTAGCATGACAAGTCTGTTTGTAAAGGAGAGACCATCATGTTAACATCATCCCACATTATACTCTTTTTTTTTAAATTTAAACATATATTAAACACTAGGAAGATGGGGAAGGAGGGACACTGAGTTTGAGCTTTGTGATTACAGATCAAAATATGTTATGATTTTTGATATTCTAAATTTAACAATAAGATTTTTTTAATTTCTTTTTTTAAAAAAATAGGAAATGTATTCTCTCATCGTTCCAAAGGCCAAAAGTCCAAAATGAAGGTGTTGTGGGGCCATGCTCTCTGTGACGGCACTGGGGGAGAACGCTTCCTTGCCTGTTCCCGCTGTTGGTGGCTCCTGGCCTTCCTTGGCTTGTGGCAGCACAGCTCCAATCTCTACTTCCTTCTTCACATGGCCTTCCTCCCTGTGTGTCTGTTTCTTTTCCTATCTCTTTTTTTTTAAATTTATCATTATTATACTTTAAGTTTTAGGGTACATGTGCACAATGTGCAGGTTTGTTACGTATGTATACATGTGCCATGTTGGTGTGCTGCACCCATTAACTCATCATTTAGCATTAGGTATATCTCCTAATGCTATCCCTCCCCCCTCCCCCCACCCCACAACAGTCCCCGGAGTGTGATGTTCCCCATCCTGTGTCCATGTGTTCTCATTGTTCAGTTCCCACCTATGAGTGAGAACATGCGGTGTTTGGTTTTTTGTCCTTGTGATAGTTTGCTGAGAATGATGGTTTCCAGTTTCATCCATGTCCCTACAAAGGCCATGAATTCATCATTTTTTATGGCTGCATCATATTCCATGATGTACATGTGCCACGTTTTCTTAATCAAATCTATCGTTGTTGGACATTTGGGTAGGTTCCAAGTCTTTGCTATTGTGAATAGTGCCGCAATAAATATACATGTGCATGTGTCTTTATAGCAGCATGATTTATAGTCCTTTGGGTATCTACCCAGTAATGGGTTGGCTGGGTCAAATGGTATTTCTAGTTCTAGATCCCTGAGGAATCACCACACTGACTTCCACAATGGTTGAACTAGTTTACAGTCCCACCAACAGTGTAAAAGTGTTCCTATTTCTCCACATCCTCTCCAGCACGTGTTGTTTCCTGATTTTTTAATGATCACCATTCGAACTGGTGTGAGATGGTATCTCATTGTGGTTTTGATTTGCATTTCTCTGATGGCCAGTGATGATGAGCATTTTTTCATGTGTTTTTTGGCTGCATAAATGTCTTCTTTTGAGAAGTGTCTGTTCATATCCTTTGCCCACGTTTTAATGGGGTTGTTTGTTTTTTTCTTGTAAATATTTTTGAGTTCATTGTAGATTCTGGGTATTAGCCCTTTGTCAGATGAGTAGGTTGCGAAAATTTTCTGCATTTTGTAGGTTGCCTGCTCACCCTGATGGTAGTTTCTTTTGCTGTGCAGAAGCTCTTTAGTTTAATTAGATCCCATTTGTCAATTTTGGCTTTTGTTGCCATTGCTTTTGATTCTTTAGACATGAAGTCCTTGCCCATGCCTATGTCCTGAATGGTATTGCCTAGGTTTTCTTCTAGGGTTTTTATGGTTTTAGGTCTAACATTTAAGTCTTTAATCCATCTTGAATTAATTTTTGTATAGGGTGTAAGGAAGGGATCCAGTTTCAGCTTTCTCCATATGACTAGCCAGTTTTCCCAGCACCATTTATTAAATAGGGAATCCTTTCCCTATTGCTTGCTTTTGTCAGGTTTGTCAAAGATCAGATGGTTGTAGATGTGCGGCATTATTTCTGAGGGCTCTGTTCTGTTCCATTGATCTATATCTCTGTTTTGGTACCAGTACCATGCTGTTTTGGTTACTGTAGCCTTGTAGTATAGTTTGAAGTCAGGTAGCGAGATGCCTCCGGCTTTGTTCTTTTGGCTTAGGATTGACTTGGTGATGCGGGCTCCTTTTTGGTTCCATATGAACTTTGAAGTAGTTTTTTCCAATTCTGTGAAGAAAGTCATTGGTAGCTTGATGGGGATGGCATTGAATCTATAAACTACCTTGGGCAGTATGGCCATTTTCACGATATTGATTCTTCCTACCCATGAGCATGGAATGTTCTTCCATTTGTTTGTATCCTCTTTTATTTCATTGAGCAGTGGTTTGTAGTTCTCCTTGAAGAGGTCCTTCACATCCCTTGTAAGTTGGGTTCCTAGGTATTTTATTCTCTTTGAAGCAATTGTGAATGGGAGTTCACTCATGATTTGACTCTCTGTTTGTCTGTTATTGGTGTATAAGAATGCTTGTGATTTTTGTACATTGATTTTGTATCCTGAGACTTTGATGAAGTTGCTTATCAGCTTAAGGAGATTTTGGGCTGAGACAATGGGGTTTTCTAGATATACAGTCATGTCATCTGCAAACAGGGACAATTTGACTTCCTCTTTTCCTAATTGAATGCCCTTTATTTTCTTCTCCTGCCTAAGTGCCCTGGCCAGAACTTCCAACACTATGTTGACTAGGAGTGGTGAGAGAGGGCATCCCTGTCTTGTGCCAGTTTTCAAAGGGAATGCTTCCAGTTTTTGCCCATTCAGTATGATATTGGCTGTGGGTTTGTCATAGCTAGCTCTTATTATTTTGAGATATGTCCCATCAATAGCTAATTTATTGAGAGTTTTTAGCATGAAGCGTTGTTGAATTTTGTCAAAGGCCTTTTCTGCATCTATTGAGATAATCATGTGGTTTTTGTCTTTGGTTCTGTTTATACACTGGATTACATTTATTGATTTGCATATGTTGAACCAGCCTTGCATCCCAGGGATGAAGCCCACTTGATCATGGTGGAGAAGCTTTTTGATGTACTGCTGGATTTTGTTTGCCAATATTTTATTGAGGATTTTTGCATCAATGTTCATCAAGGATATTGGTCTAAAATTCTCTTTTTTGGTTGTGTCTCTGCCCGGCTTTGGTATCAGGATGATGCTGGCCTCATAAAATGAGTTAGGGAGGAGTCCCTCTTTTTCTATTGATTGGAATAGTTTCAGAAGGAATGGTACCAGCTCCTCCTTGTACCTCTGGTAGAATTCGGCTGTGAATCCATCTGGTCCTGGACTTTTTTTCGTTGGTAAGCTATTGATTATTGCCTCAATTTCAGAGCCTGTTATTGGTCAATTCAGAGATTCAACTTCTTCCTGGTTTAGTCTTGGGAGGAGGTATGTGTCGAGGAATTTATCCATTTCTTCCAGATTTTCTAGTTTATTTGTGTAGAGGTGTTTGTAGTATTCTCTGATGGTAGTTTGTATTTCTGTGGGATCGGTGGTGATATCCCCTTTATCATTTTTTATTGCGTCTATTTGATTCTTCTCTCTTTTCTCCTTTATTAGTCTTGCTAGCAGTCTATCAATTTTGTTGATCTTCTCAAAAAACCAGCTCCTGGATTCATTGATTTTTTGAAGGGTTTTTTGTGTCTCTATTTCCTTCAGTTCTGCTCTGATCTTAGTTATTTCTTGCCTTCTGCTAGCTTTTGAATGTGTTTGCTCTTGCTTTTCTAGTTCTTTTAATTGTGATGTTAGGGTGTCAATTTTGGATCTTTCCTGCTTTCTCTTGTGGGCATTTAGTGCTATAAATTTCCCTCTACACACTGCTTTGAATGTGTCCCAGAGATTCTGGTATGTTGTTTCTTTGTTCTCATTGGTTTCAAAGAACATCTTTATTTCTGCCTTCATTTCGTTATGTACCCAGTAGTCATTCAGGAGCAGGTTGTTCAGTTTCCATGTAGTTGAGCAGTTTTGAGTGAGTTTCTTAATCCTGGGTTCTAGTTTGATTGCACTGTGGTCTGAGAGACAGTTTGTTATAATTTCTGTTCTTTTACATTTGCTGAGGAGAGCTTTACTTCCAACTATGTGGTCAATTTTGGAATAGGTGTGGTGTGATGCTGAAAAAAATGTGTATTCTGTTGATTTGGGGTGGAGAGTTCTGTAGATGTCTATTAGGTCCACTTGGTGCAGAGCTGAGTTCAATTCCTGGGTATCCTTGTTAACTTTCTGTCTCATTGATCTGTCTAATGTTGACAGTGGGGTGTTAAAGTCTCCCATTATTATTGTGTGGGAGTCTAAGTCTCTTTGTAGGTCACTCAGGACTTGCTTTATGAATTTGGGTGCTCCTGTATTGGGTGCATATATATTTAGGATAGTTAGCTCTTCTTGTTGAATTGATCCCTTTACTATTATGTAATGGTCTTCTTTGTCTCTTTTGATCTTTGTTGGTTTAAAGTCTGTTTTATCAGAGACTAGGATTGCAACCCCTGCCTTTTTTTGTTTTCCATTTGCTTGGTAGATCTTCCTCCATCCCTTTATTTTGAGCCTATGTGTGTCTCTGCACGTGAGATGGGTTTCCTGAATACAGCACACTGATGGTTCTTGACTCTTTATCCAATTTGCCAGTCTGTGTCTTTTAAGTGGAGTATTTAGCCCATTTACATTTAAAGTTAATATTGTTATGTGTGAATTTGATCCTGTCATTATGATGTTAGCTGCTTATTTTGCTCTTTAGTTGATGCAGTTTCTTCCTAGCCTTGATAGTCTTTATAATTTGGCATGTTTTTGCAGTGGCTGGTACCGATTGTTCCTTTCCATGTTTAGTGCTTCCTTCAGGAGCTCTTTTAGGGCAGGCCTGGTGGTGAAAATCTCTCAGCATTTGCTTGTGTGTAAAGGATTTTATTTCTCCTTCACTTATGAAGCTTAGTTTGGCTGGATATGAAATTCTGGGTGGAAAATTCTTTTCTTTAAGAATGTTGAATATTGGCCCCCACTCTCTTCTGGCTTGTAGAGTTTCTGCCGAGAGATCCGCTGTTAGTCTGATGGGCTTCCCTTTGTGGGTAACCCGACCTTTCTCTCTGGCTGCCCTTAACATTTTTTCCTTCATTTCAACTTTGGTGAATCTGACAATTATGTGTCTTGGAGTTGCTCTTCTTGAGGAGTACCTTTGTGGCGTTCTCTGTATGTCCTGAATCTGAATGTTGGCCTGCCTTGCTAGATTGGGGAAGTTCTCCTGGATAATATCCTGCAGAGTGTTTTCCAACTTGGTTCCATTCTCCCCATCACTTTCAGGTACACCAATCAGACGTAGATTTGGTCTTTTCACATAGTCCCATATTTCTTGGAGGCTTTGTTCATTTCTTTTTATTCTTTTTTCTCTAAACTTCCCTTCTCACTTCATTTCGTTAATTTCGTTTTCCATCACTGATACCCTTTCTTCCAGTTGATCGCATCGGCTCCTGAGGCTTCTGCATTCTTCACGTAGTTCTCGAGCCTTGGCTTTCAGCTCCATCATGTCCTTTAAGGACTTCTCTGTATTGGTTATTCTAGTTAGCCATTCGTCTAATTTTTTTTCAAAGTTTTTAACTTCTTTGCCATTGGTTTGAATTTCCTCCTGTAGCTCGGAGTAGTTTGATCATCTGAAGCCTTCTTCTCTCAAATGGTCGAATTCATTCTCCGTCCAGCTTTGTTCCATTGCTGGTGAGGTTCCATTGCTGGTGAGGAACTGCGTTCCTTTGGAGGAGGAGAGGTGCTCTGCTTTTTAGAGTTTCCAGTTTTTCTGCTCTGTTTTTTCCCCATCTTTGTGATTTTATCTACTTTTGGTCTTTGATGATGGTGACGTACAGATGGGTTTTTGGTGTGGATGTCCTTTCTGTTTGTTAGTTTTCCTTCTAACAGACAGGACCCTCAGCTGCAGTTCTGTTGGAGTTTGTTAGAGGTCCACTCCAGACCCTGTTTGCCTGGGTATCAGCAGTGGTGGCTGCAGAACAGCGGTGGCTGTTGAACAATGGATTTTGGTGAACCGCAAATGCTGCTGCCTGATTGTTCCTCTGGAAGTTTTGTCTCGGAGGAGTACTGGCTGTGTGAGGTGTCAGTCTGCCCCTACTGGGGGGTGCCTCCCAGTTAGGCTGCTCGGGGGTCAGGGACCCACTTGAGGAGGCAGTCTGCCCGTTCTCAGATCTCCAGCTATGTGCTGGGAGAACCACTACTCTCTTCAAAGCTGTCAGACAGGGACATTTAAGTCTGCAGAGGTTAATGCTGTCTTTTTGTTTGTCTGTGCCCTGCCCACAGAGGTGGAGCCTACAGAGGCAGGCAGGCCTCATTGAGCTGTGGTGGGCTCCACCCAGTTCTAGCTTCCCGGCTGCTTTGCTTACCTAATCAAGCCTGAGCAATGGCAGGCGCCCCTCCCCCAGCCTTGCTGCCTCCTTGCAGTTTGATCTCAGACTGCTGTGCTAGCAATCAGCGAGGCTCTGTGGGGGTAGGACCCTCTGAGCCAGTTGCAGGATATAATCTCCTGGTGTGCCGTTTTTTAAGCCCGTTGGAAAAGCGCAGTATTAGGGTGGGAGTGACCCGATTTTCCAGGTGCCATCTGTCACTCCTTTCTTTGACTAGGAAAGGGAACTCCCTGACCCCTTGCACTTCCCAAGTGAGGCAATGCCTCAACCTGCTTCAGCTTGTGCACGGTGCACTGCACCCACTGTCCTGCACCCACTGTCTGGCACTCCCTAGTGAGATGAACCTGGTACCTCAGATGGAAATGCAGAAATCACCCATCTTCTGCATCACTCATACTGGGAGCTGTAGACTGGAGCTGTTCCTATTCGGCCATCTTGGCTCCACCCCCATCCCACATTATACTCTTACTGAGCAGCAGTTTTTCATGAATATTAGACTCGTTTCAATTATCCCAGCAATAATTTGCAGTTCACGTTAATGAAATCATAACTACACTTTTTCAGAGATTAATATTAAATTTTAGCCTGAAAGTATTTTTTATCCATAAGGAATTTGTTGATTTAATATTAACTCCATTTTCCAATATTCATCAAAGTAGGTTTATATCCTTTTATCACTTATCAAGTACTTTTCTTGGACATTACCTCAGTTGATCTCTGTAACAACCTTGTTAGATGTGCCACCTTAAAAGGTTATTTTTTTAATAAGTGTTGGAAAAAATACACACTTACATTTCTACATACATCATGTTTAAAAAACCAAATAACCTCTGGGCAGGAAAACGCCTTATTCACTGTTGTATCCCCAGCATCTAGTACAACTACTGGTATATAATAAGTACACAGTAAATATGTATTGAATGCATAGACTAGTGAACCAGAAAGCAAGACACTTATTAAAGTTTCTACTATAGGGATGAGAAAACAAAAAAAATTCAGAGACTTTAAATGATTTGCCTAAGGGTGAAATGGTAGTTAAGTGTAAGTAGAACTGGAATACAGATGAAATGAAATAATGTATTTAAATTGTTTATCACAATGCCTGAGGCATACCAGGTACTCAATAAATGCACCTGTTTGATATCCTTTGTGCATATTCAAACATTTTAGTGTTCATTTCTACAGTAATGGTGAATATGGTAGTCATAGAAAGTAATTTCATATTTCAAGCAAGTTAAATCTTGTCTATTAAATAGCATCTACTGAAGGGTAAATACATTCCCAAAGGCTAAATGCTTCCTTTTCTTCATTTTAACACATTATCAATGAGTTGATTTAAAACCTAAAGAAAATTAAATTGAATTTTATGCAAGAGCATAAAATTCCAGCCATCAGCTATTCATCACATGCCAATTTTCCTGTGTCAAGGAGGAAGATTTCCATTTAGTCCCCTGAAATCTATATAGGCTGTTGTTCCCTTTTGCACATCCTGAGCCATTTACTCTGTAAATTACCATGAGTTGCAAACAGAAGTCCAGAAATATGTCTGTGCAGATTCACACCAGTCAGGCAGCTCTGCAAATAGCCTTGCCTGAGTCCTATTTTAAATACGTTCATTACTAACAATGTCATGTCATCCTTAGAGCTGATTTCCATATACCCCACCCCCAATCTACCACCAAACAAATAATATCTCAGACATTTCAAAACAGGCACTTCAGGCTTTACAGAAATTATTTAGCCATATTGTTACTAAGCTAAACCATCCACTGATACAAAAAAAAACTATTTACTTTCCCATGCCAGTTGTTTGGAGGATGTTACATTTTACTAAGGTCAGAGAATTGTCAGTTTTTCAATTAAGGCTCATATTTTTTTAAGCATGGATAAATATCTTTTTTTAAAAAAACTTCCTTGAAGACTTTTAAAGGAAGTCTTTAGAGAGAGTGTTTGTATTTTATTACCAGATAATTGTTTTTCCTGTAAGGCTTTTAAAAAATTTTTTTTATTTTAGGTTTGGGAGTACATGTGGAGGTTTGTTACATAGATGAACATGTCATGGAGATTTGTTGTACATATTATTACATCACCCAGGCATTAAGTTCAATTAACTTTTCCGCTCCTCTCCCTACTCCCACCCTCCCCCATCAAGTAGAGCCCACTGTCTGTTGTTTCCTTCTTTGTGTTCATAAGTTCTTATCATTTAGCTCCCATTTGTAAGTGACAACATGAGATATTTGATTTTCTGTTCCTGTGTTAGTTTGCTAAAGATGATAGCCTCCTGTAAGACTTTTTAAAAAAGTAATTGTTAGGTCCACAGAATGAGCTTTATGACATCCTCCTATTCCAAAGTCTTTCTCCAGCATCTTAGTCTTTCCTTCCAAACTTTACTGAGGTATAATTGATGTGTCAAAAACTGCATATAATTAATGTATAAATTTTGGTGACTGTGAACCAATGTATACACTTAAGTTACTATCACCATAATGTAGCACCTTACTTTTGCCATAAACATTAAAACTGTGCTTTGAAAAGACATCTCTAATTTGCCTTGAGTATCAGACTGATATCTTAGAGAATAGCTTGAGAAAGATGCTTAAAATGAGAACAGACGGACGATGAAGTCAATGTCAAGTCAAATGGATTTGCCCAAGATCATTAAGCTGAAATTTGAATTTAGGTTCGTCTGCCTCTGGTGCCTGTGCCCTTTCTACAATAGCAGGCTGGGAAAGATTCAAATTTTGCCCCTCCAAAGATCCAAGAAGAAAATCACTGGTGATTGAAAGCTAATGGAGATCATTTAAAAATCCAGAAAAGTGTGTATTGACATCCCCAAAGAATGAACAGTTCTAAAGGCCAATAAGCCTTCCTGAACAAAATGCATTATAATCAAAAACATGGGCACTATGGGCAATTAAAGGTAAGGAAGTATGAGCAGCTTATTATTTCATTTACTTGTTTATTATTTGTTTATTATTTTTCTCAGCTGTTTTACAGGAAGATACACTGATTAATTATATGGCCAGATAATCAAAGATGAACTGTACAGTCATCATTTTGAGAGGATTTTGAAAAGTAAGCTCAGTGCTCTAAGTTTTCCAGCCTCCTGGGATTTTCCCTTTCTTGATTTTCCAAATATGATTACTGCGTGGAATCGTTTTCTCTCCCCACTCTTTCTGAGGACTCTTCCAAAAGCAACAATGCTGGTTGTTGCATCTGCAACTTATTCACCAATCATGTCTAGACATTTTGATGACATTTACCCCAATTTTTCTGAGTTCTGCACCCCAAAATTGGGAAGAACTCCTTTCTCCAGTCTCCTAAGCATCACAAACACAAGTCTAACTCCAGACTCTTCTGATGACTTCAGGATGTTGAAAGGTAATTATAATAGAGAGAAAAAGAGAACTTGTCGTAGAGTTACATTACAGGGAGACTTCTTACTTCATTAGGGCTATTTTCCTTGCACAGGTATTAAAAAAAGCAAGGCTAAAAAAGATCTGCAATTAAGAGACTTGAAGTCTACCCTCAAAACTGCTAGAAATTCCAACATACTAGTTTTCTCACAAAAAATATAAAGTTCCACATTATGGTCCATTCTGCTACAAAAATTTCAAGAATGAATTAATTTTCTTACATGTCACCAACTAGAATTCATCATAGGCTTAGAAAAAGTAGATGATTTCATATTTTAAAATTAAATATCTATATATCCTCATGAGTTATATGAAGGTAGGTCTTCCTACTTTGAAAAGAAAAGTTGGTCCAGGATTACTTGATATCTCATAAATCCCTACTTTTTTAGTGTAATAATTTAAATATTTTTTACATTCAGTCAAACTTTTGAAATGGATAAACAGTTTAAACAGATAACAAAGGTAAAAGAAATAATAAGTTTCTCAATTTCATTGTTTAAATATCTACTTGGGCATTGAGTCATCAAATTCCTGTTTCCTCAAAAGGAATAGCAGCTTGAAGATTAAGAGTGTGTCACTCTGAACATTCTTCTTTGCCGATATTGTGCACCCTATAAATTTTCCTATCATCTACATGCATATGAATTCTACTTACATATATTCCTTCACTTTGTATTTGCCTTCTGATTTTTAGACTAATTTCTTAAAAAAATGACTCTGCTTGGACAGATTTCAGGTTTATCAAATTTAGTTTTTTCCATTTCTTAAAACTATATTGATGATAGAGTTCTGTATTTCAACATCCTTCTCAATGCACAGTTACTGAGGCAAGAAGTCTATTTGTATCTTCATTTTCTTTAACCACATTTTACCTCCCATCCACCTCCACACCTCCACTCAATGATCAAGTCTGGCCATTTTACTTCATAATTGTTTTTGACATTTGTCCACTTCTGTCTATCACCATGTGGTTCTCAACCCTAATTGCACATAAGAAATGGCTGGAGACCTCTAAAAATTAGTAATGCAGGACTTCTGCTTTTGACCAAGGTGGACTGTCAGGGACTGGATTTACTAGCCTACCTAAAAAAATAAACAGTTCCAAGAAGCTGAATGAATCCCATGCACAAGCAATATGAACACCAAGAAATATCCAGGTACATTATAATCAAATCATTGAAAATAATTGATTTTAAAAATTCTTGAAAGCAGCCCATGAGAAAAAAATTACATTATATAGAGGGTAACAGATGAGAACTACAACATACTTCTCATTAGAAATAATGCAAGACAGAAGACAGTGGAACAACATATCTCAGGTACCAAATGAATTAAAAAAAAAACCCTGTTAGCCTAGACTCTTATAAGCAGTGAAAATATGTTTCAAAAGTGAAGGTGAAATAATTACCTTTTTGATGTACAAAACCTGAAATCATCCATCAAGAGCAGAATTGAACTATGAGAGATGTTAAAGGAAGTATTTTAAACAGAAGGAAAATTGTATCAGATGGAAATCTGTATCTACACAAAGGGAGGAAAAGCACTGGAAATAGTAATTATGTGGGAAAACATAAAATGCTTTTCTCATTATTTTTCTCTCTTTGGAAGATAACTGATGATTTAAAGCAAAAATTTTAACAAAGTATGTTGGGGTTTAAAACAAAAGAATGAAGAAGGTGGAAATAATCAGTAAATTTGAAAATAGAAGAATAGAAATTACCCAATCTGAATGACAAGGAGATATAGACTTAAAAAAAAATGAACAGATCCTCAGGGACTTGTAGGGCTATAACTAAAAAACCTAATATTTATGTTATCAGAGTCTTAGAAAGAGAGGAGAAAAAGAGTTATGTTAATAAAGTATTCAAAGACATAGTGGCTGAAATTTTTTTGAACTTGGCAAAAGCAAAATGACCTACAGATTCAAGAAGCTGAATGAAGCTCAAACAGAGAAATCTTAAAGAAATCCACACCAAGATACAGCATAATTAAACATGTGAAAAGTAAAGACAAAGAAAAGTCCTGAAAATAGCCAGAGAAAAACAATGCATTTTCTATAGGGTCAAACAATTTCATCGATAGAAGAGCTTATCAGAAACTATGGAGGCCAGGAAAAAAGTGGCACATTTTCCATGTTCTGACAGATAAGAATTGTCAACCTAGAATCCTACATTCTGTGAAAATATCCTCAGGAATAAAGGTGAAGGTAAAGTCAAGATGAAGAAAACTAAGAGAATTTGTCACTAGTGTAACAACGCTAAAAGAATGCCTAAGTGTAATTCCCTAAAAAGAAAGGATATCTCTGCAGTGAACCTCCAGAGCCTTGGCACAGATCACTTCTAAGTTTGGAAATGACCCACCATACCTGAAGCCTGCAGGTACAGAGGCCATATGTGATCAGACCCAACTTTTGGAAGACCCACCAGGGAATTTCCCATTTCGTGTCCTGAGACCAGGAACTCAGCAGAGAAACTTTGTGGAGATAGGACAAGATGGCTGACTAGACACATCCAGGAAACACCTCTCCTACTGACAGAAACCAAAATATCAAGTAAACTATCACACTTTGAACAGATCTTTTAAGAGAAAACACTGAAAGTTGATAGAAAAGCACAGACCTCAGCTCAATATCCCTAGGCAGTTGCTCAAACCCTGGGGGTTTAAGACCGGGTCCATGCCTTCATCCTCTTGCCCTTCAGGGTTGAAGAAGAAGAAAGCCGGGAAGCCTGCATGGAGTCATCAAGTACCAGGACTGACTACTCAACCTCAGCAGTTCCTAAGGAAGGGGTGAGTGAAGGAACTCCAGAGCACCACACTTCTGACATGAACTTCTAAGATTTTAGCTAGAAGAGATATGATCCCATAGACATTTGAGTTGGCAAGGGGAACTACCTAGAAAAAAGGCAGATGCAGAGCTCAAACCGCGTGGAACCCAGAAGATTTTGTGCATGCGGAAGCTGCAGCAAAACACGACCATAGGTGCTCATCCCCAAGGTTCTCCATCTTGCTCTGAGTATGTCTAGTCCCTGTTAACTGCTAGCAGGGAGAGAGCAGGGCTGCCTATCCCATGGGACCAGGGCACATCAGATCTGTGTGCCCCTTGTCCACCAACCCCTGCAAAGGCTCCTGCCTGGCCATTTCCACAAGAGGTTGCACACAGCACAGTCTCTGCTGCCCCACCTGACTGTTTTGTCAGTAGCCTGGGAATAGTTTAGTCCCCCAGCACTGCCAGTGCTCAACCCTGAAGGGCCAGAAGATGAAGCCACGGACCCAGTCTCAAACCCCCAGGGTTCAAGCATCCTGCCAAAGGTCTCAAACCCCCAGGGTTCAAGCATCCTGCCAAAGGATATTGAGCTGAAGTCTGTGCCCTGAGCTTGATCAAGGGAGGAGCCCCCAACCCAAGAATACTGAAAAGACTAAGGCACAGGTTTGTGTGCTGGCATGGGGGCTGGGCATCCCTTCTTCTGCAAGACTGGTCCACGAAGGGTGTAGCCTGTTGGTCAGCTGCAGCTTCTACCCAAGAGAGTGCCATGGCCTGGAATAGCCCAGGGATCTGGATGCATAGGACTTGGGACAAAACTAGCTGATTGGGCCTATTCCTGGGACATACACTGGAGGGAGACCCAGTCAAGAGAGTGTGAGCTGGGAGGTCTCCACAGTCATCTGCTGGGCAAAAAATCTCAGGCTGTGGACACCACACCAACTGTACACCCATGGCACGACCACCTCTGCCTAGGGATTCTCCACCCTTGACCCACTGCATCATCAGACCACCTGCAGACATACCCCACAGCCCGGTCTGACTCTTCCAAGCTCAGAGGACCAGCAGACCCATGGCCAGTTGTGGGTCTCTTGGTGACCTAACATTTGGGAGGGAGTACAACCCACCAGGGCCACTCTTGGGGCTAAGGAAATGCAAGCACAGCACCAGACATTGGCTGGGGGTTCCACCGAGGCCTGGGAATGGACTTGGTGAAAGGGTTGTCTCTCACCACCACCCCATCTACCCCTCTCCAGATCACTGCTTAAAACACACTTAAGTACAAAAGAGGTGTGCAGCTGAGTAACAGCCTATCTACCAGCTCTTACTGTTAAGTGTCGTCTACTATATTGCAGCCTGAGTTACACCACCAAACAAAAATAAATGCCTTCAGCACACATAGCCTGTGAAACCTAATGCAGGAATTTAGTCACAACTAAGGAGCCCACACAGGGCCTTCGTCCTCTGAAAACATCCAGAAATAAAGCCAAGTGACACAGCATACACCACAATTAAACCCTCAAGGGAAAAAAAAGAATAAAAAAAAACAAAAAGTCCCATCTAAATGACAGCAATTTAAAAAGCTAAAGAAATATCAGCCCCCTCAGATAAGAAGGAATCAGTGCAAAAACTCTGGCAACAATCTAACATTGCACCTACAGGACCTAGAAAAACAAGAACAAACTAACCCCAAAACTAGTGGAAGAAAATAAATAACTAAAATCCAAACAGAACAAAATGAAATAGAAACCCCCAAATCCATACAAAAGATCAACAAGGCCAAAAGTGGTTTCTTTGAAAGTATAAACAAGATTGATGTACTGCTAGCTAGATTAACAAAGAAAAAAAGAGAAATGCGCAATCAGAAATGACAAAGGTGACATTACAACCAATCCCATAGAATTAGAGAGGACCCTCACAGACTATTATGAAGACCCCTATGCACAGAAACTAGAAAATCTAGAGGAAATGGATAAATTCCTGGAAAGACACAACCTCCCAAGAATGAATCAGGAAGACCTTTAAGACCTGAACAGACCAATAGTGAAAGTTCTGAAATTGAATCAGTATTAAAATATAATAAACAAACATATCAACCAAAAAAAGTCCTGGACCAGATGGATTCATGGGTGAATTCTACCAGACGTACAAAGACAGCTGGTACCAATCCTACTGAAACTATTCCAAGAAATCAAAGAGAAAAAATTCCTCCCTAACTCATTATAGAAACCCAACATCATCCTGATGCAAACGTCTGGCAAAAGCACAATAAAAAATATAACTACAGGCCAATATTCCTGGTGAACATAGACGCAAAAATCCTCAACAAAATACTAGCAAAGTAAATACAACAGCATATCAAAAAGTTAATTTACTACAATCAATATGCTTAATTCCTGGGATACAAGGTTGCTTCCCCACACACAAATTGATCATTGTTATTCACTACATGAACAGAATTAATAACAAAAAACATATGATCATCTCAATAAACGCAGAAAAAGCTTTCGATAAAATTCAACATCCTTTTATGATAGAAACCCTCAACAAACTGGCATTGAAAGAACATACCTCAAAATATGACAAATCCAAAACCAACATCATATTGAATGGGCATGCTGGAACCATTCCCTTTGAGAACTGGAACAAGACAAGGAAGCTCACTCTCAGTATTCCTATTCAACATAGTACTGGAAGTCCTAGCCAAAGCAATCAGGCAAGAGGAACAAATAAAATGTATCCAAATCAGAAAAGAAGTCAAACTATCTCTCTTCTCTGACAATATGATTCTATACTTAGAAAACTCTAAAGACTGCCAAAAGGTTCCTGGAACTGATAAACAACTTCATTAAAGTTTCAGAATACAAAATCAGTGTATAGAAATCAGTCGTGTATCTATACTAAAATAATATTCAAGCTGAGAATCAAGAATGTAATCCCATTTCTAATAGCCACAAAAAACATAAAATATCTAAGAATACAGCTAACCAGAGAGATGAAATATCTCTACAACAAGAATTACAAACTACTTCTCAAAGAAATCAGAGATGATACAAACAAATGGAACAACATTCCATGTTCATGGATAGTAAGAATCAATATTGTTAAAATGGCCATATTGCCCAAAGTAATGTACAGATTAAATGCTATTCCTATCAATTAAACTATCAATGTTACTTTTCACAGAATTAAGAAAAACTATTCTAAAATTAATTTGGAACCAAAAGAGAGCCCAAATAGCCATAGCAATCCCAAGCAAAATGAAAAAAGCTGGAGGCATCACATTACCCAACTATACTATAAGGTTACAGTAAGCAAAATAACATGGTGCTCATGCAAAAACAGACATACAGACCAGTGGAACAGAATAGAGAATGCAGAAATAAAGCCATACAACTACAATCATCTGATCATCAACAAAGTTGACAAAAACAAGCAATGAAGAAAGGACTCCCTACTCAGTAAATGGTGTTCGGATAACTGGCTAGCCATATGCAGAAGAATGAAACTAGGCCCCTACTTTCACAATATATAAATTAACTCAAAATAGATTAAATACTTAAAGGTAAGACCTAGAAATATAAAAACCTAGGAAATACCCTTCTGGACATTAGCCTTGGCAGAGAATTTATGGCTAAGTCCTCAAAAGCAATTGCAACAAACACAAAATTGGCAAGCGGGGCCTAATTAAACTAAAGAACTTCTGTACAGCAAAAGAAATTATCAACAGAATAAACAGCCAGCTCACAGAATGGGAGAAAATATTTTCTATGCATCTAACAAAGGCCTAATATCCAAAATATGTAAGAAACTTAAGCAAATAAACAAGAAAAAAAACTGCGTTAAAAAGTGGGCAACTATGTGAACAGACACTTCTCAAAAGAAGACATACAAGTAGCCAACAAACACGAAAAATGCTTAGCATCACTAATCATCAGAGAAATGCAAATCAAAACTACAATGAGACACCATCTAAACTATTTACTAATAGAATGACTATCATTAAAAAGTCAAAAGAAACAGATGCTGGTGAGGCTGTGGAGAAAAGGGAATGCTTATACTTTGTTCATGGGAATTTAAGTTAGTTCAGCTGTTGTGGAAAGCAGTTTGGAGATTTCTCAGAGAACTTAAAATAGAACTACTATTTGACCCAGCAATCCCATCACTGGGTATATATCCAAAGGAAAATAAATCAGTCTAACAAAAAGACACATGTACTCGTATGTTCATGACAAAATAAAGTTTATTCCAGGGACGTAAGGCTGATTCAGTAGCCAAAATTCAGTTAAAGTTAATCATACCAACAGGCTAAAGAAGAAAAAATATCACGTGATTATATCAACTGATGCAGAAAGAGCACATTTGACACAGTTCAACACTCATGCAGTATTAAAACTCTGAGGAAGCTAGTAATAGAAGAAAACATTCTTAATAAAGAACATCTATAAAAAATGATCAAATAAACCTACAGCTAACAACACAATTTTGAAAGATGTAATAATTTCACTCTAGGATGAGAAAGGCAAATATGTCTGCTCTCATCACTGCTATTCATTTGATACTAGAAATTCTAGCCAGCACAATAAGGCAAGAAAAGGAAAAAGGCACACATATATGGAAGGAATAAATAAAACTGTCCCTATTTGTAGATGACATGACAGTCTGCATAGAAAATCCCAAGGAATCTACAACAAAATTTCTAGTCACAGGATATAAGATTGACATACAAAATTATTTGTATTTCTCTATATTAACAATAAACTGTGAAAACCAAAATAGTAAATATAATACTATTTACAATTGTTCTTAAGAAAAATGAAATACTTAGGTGTAAATCTAACAAAACAACTATAGAACTTGCATGCTGCAAATTATACGATGCTGATGAAAGAAATTAAAGTTCTAAATAAATGGAGGGATGTACCATATTCATGACTCGGCAAACTCAAAATAGAAAAACAAAGTCAATTCTTCATAGTTTGATATACAGGTTTAATACAATAAATATCAAAATCTCAGCATGACTTGTTTGTAGATATAGAAAAGACTATCCTAAAATTCATATGGAAAGACCAAAGAACATAGAATAGCTAAAAAAAAAAAAAAATCTTTTTAAAGAAGAGTAAAGTAGAAGGAATCAATCTACCCTATTTCAAGAATTACTATATCGCTACAGATATCAAAACTGTGTTGATATTGATGAAGAGGTAGACATATAGGTCATTGGAACAGAATGGAAAACCCAGAAATAATCCCACATAGCCTTATATAGCCAACTTATTTTTGGCAGTAAAACAATTTAAAGGAGGAAGGATATTCTTGTCAACAAATGATGCTGAATTGAATATCCATAGGCAAAAAAGTGAACTTCAACCTAAACCTCATAATTTACGTTAAAAGTAACTCCAAATGAGTCACAAATGTAAATATAAAGCCTAAAACTATAAAACTTTTAGAATGTAATATGGAAGAAAATGTTTGAGACCTAAGACAGCAAAGAGTTCTTAGACAAGACACCAAAAGTGTAATTGATAAAAGAAAGATATTAAAATTGGACTTCATCAAAATTTAAAACTTTTTTGTGAAAGACCTTGCTAGAAGGATGACAAGATGAGCTTCAGACTGGAAGAAAATATTTGCAAACTACATACCTGACAAAGGACTCATTTGTATGATATAAAAAGAACTCTCAAAACTGAACAGTAAAAAAAAAAAAGCAGTGTAATTAGAAAATGGGCAAAAGACATGAAGAGACATTTCCCCAAAGAGGATGAAAGGATGGCAAATAATCATACGGAAAATGTTCAACATCAGTAGCTATTAAGGAAATGCAAATTAATATAATGATGAGATATCACTATATATTCATCAGAGTGGCTAAAATATTAATAGAAAATAGTGACAACACCAACTGTTTGCAAGGATGCAGAGAAACATACACCTACCATATGACCCAGCAGTTGAACTCTCAGGCACTTATTCTAGAGAAATGAAGTTTATGCCCACACAACACTTGTGCACAATTGTTCATAGCGGCTTTATTTTTAATGGTCAGAAACTGCAAACGACCAAAATGTTCCTTAGTAGGTGAATGGTTAAACAAGCTGTGATGTGTGTGTGTGTGTGTTTGTGCATATTAATATATATGTCATATATATAATGAAGTATTTTTCAGCAATATAAAGCAACAAACTATTGATTCAAACAAGAGTTTAATAGAGCTCAGGAGCATTGTGCTGAATGAAAAAAAGCCAATATCAAAAGATAATATATTGTGTGATTCCGTTCATATAACATTCTTGAAATATCAAAATTATAGAGCTAGAAAACAGATTAGTAGTCACCAGGAGTTATGGATGGTGGGGGGTGGTAAAAAGTTGTGCATGACTATAAAGAGGTACCACAAGAAAGATCTTTGTGGTGATGGAATAGTTCTGTATCATGTTTTAGGTGGTTGTTACATTAACATACATATACAGTGTACCATTTTAAGTAAACATATTTGGAGAACTCATACTCTCTGATTGAAGACTTATTATAAAACTATAGTAATCAAGACAGCCTCACACGAGAATGACCACTTATGTAGTTTGAGTTTAAAATACCAATAAAGTTTTTCCTAATAAAAGTTTGAAATACTTGCCCTCCCATATGTTACTTGGTACTAAAATATCTTTTAAATGAAAAAAAAAATCTTTCCTTCCACACGTAGAAATGAGGCTTCAAACACAATATTGTGGTGCCATAATTATAGGTGAATGAGGAATAAATAAGAAAGCTGTTGAACCAGGTGGTTCTGCTCAGGGTTGCCATCTGCCATATAATGGGTCAGAACAAACTTCACAAGCCACACGGTATTGGTTTAAGGAATAAGTATCGGTGGGAAAAGAGAAAAATCACAAGGCCAGAGTCAGCCTCCAGAGATGGTTGTGGTTCCCTAATTTGACCATCTTCCTTTGTGGGAACGTTTTCTGGACCTGGCTGGGGTTTGACTCCAACGAAGATAACAATATTTTACTCTTGGGTCTCTCTTCTTATGACGCAAGTGTGAAATTGTGGCTTTGTTACTGAATGAAATAAATAGGCTGTTTGGAAACAGGAATCTGGATTTAGGATGCTAGCTACTCCAGTACCTGGGGCCTGTGGAGCCCTTGAGAAGTTACAGTTCTCCTTGTGTGTCTGAAGGTGGGAGGAGGAAGAGGTTGGACAGGAAGCCACCAGTGCCATTGTGAGCTTAGCTTGGGCACTGTCCCTCCTGCTGGGAAAAGATTCTCCCAGATTGCAATCAGCGTATTGTCCAGGCAACCTAGTGGGGGCACCTGAGTAATGTTCACGTGAGCCTGCTTTTTGAATTACAAATACTTTTCTTTCAGGTCTTTTTTTTTGGAATGGAGGTGGGAGGGGAGGGCTAAGGTAAGAAGGGATAGATTAGATAAGAAAGGCCAACAGCATACATCTGTATGTTGAAGAAAAAACTCATGAAAAAGAACATGAGAGTCTAGAGAGACTGACTACAAACTTCATCATTTATCATTTCGTGTAGGAAATTTCTTCCAAATACTAACACTGGGGGGATGGAAATCTGCAAGAGATAATGTATGTCAATATTATCTTCTAATCTTAAAACCTGCAGACCCAAAGTCACACTACATGCACTTAACAAATCCCTGCTTCTCATAATAATCCCAAAGCACTTGGTCAATGTGTTTATCTTCTTGAACAATATTCTTTCCATTGCTTTATACAGACACATTGTTTTAATCCAACACATCTCGTGATCTTCACTAACTTAGATTTGAGAATCTCAGTGCATTGGAAAACACTGCTTTGGAATTTTACCTTAAAGCATTTCTGTCTTACAGTCATATAGACTAACTCCCAAATCTCTTACTGAAAGTTAAATCAATATAGACATTATGCATCTATTAGTTACTAAAAAAAGCCAAAGTTTCTTAATTAAAACCATCAAATAGGAAGGACAAACACCAATTAACTATAAAATACTATAGCAAATATTTATAGTCCAGAAATATCAAAAGTTAACTATACATAAAATATATTTCAATTTCAGTGAAAGAAAAAATTATTCTGAGGCAATTGCACACAACTTTTTATTCCATGTATTCAGAGTTCTACATTTATCTTTTTCAATTTTCTCATTTTACATATAAGAAAATTTCACATGACCATGATACTGTGATCTTCAGCTTTTGATTATCTTATAAATCAATTTTTGGCATTTGCATTTAACAGCAATGCTTCTTGGCTTAACCAATGTTGGCTTTATTTTTCAAGAGCTGGCTCCTTAGGTTGCTTGAGGAGATCAGCATATGGTGTTTTTTGCAAGGATTTTAAACTTTGATTTATGGGGATTGGAAAAGGTGTCTTAATAAACAACTGCTTTTATTATTTTATTTATTTTCATTTTAGAGATAAGGTCTCACTCTGTCCCCCAGGCTGAAGTGCAGTAGTACGATCATGGTTCACTGCAGCCTTGACCTCATGGGCTCAGGTGATCCTCCCACCTCAGCCTCCCAAGTAGCTGGGATTACAGGTGCGTGTCACCATGCCCAGCTAATTTTTTGTATTTTTTGTATAGATGCCCAGGCTGGTCTCGAATTCCTGGGCTCAAGTGATACACCTGCCTCAGCCTCCCAAAGTGCTGGGAGTACAGGTGTAAGCCACTGCACCTGGCCAAACAACTACTTTTAACATGAATATATGTCTGTGAACATCTTCTTACCAGAAAGGTTGGTCATTCTTTATCAGATGGGTGCCTGGGTTCATATTTCCTGTTTATAACTGTACCCATTCAAGGAAGAACTACTGGAAATAAGATATGGTGTAGCTCTTTTCTATAACAGTCATTTTAAGAGAGAATAATATTCATTTTCTTGACCCTAAAGGCTTCCAATTGTCTGTGCAAGAAGAGTGAACACTATCTTAATTAGCTTCACATGATTTATTCTTGGAGGTGTTAAGGGACAACATTAATTTATTTGAGGACAAAAAGCTCATAGCTCTTCTTAATGAATATTGCTCCAATCTTGAAATACTGATTTAACAATGTGGTTCTAAAAAGTAGCTTAATTTAGACAAAAAATAACACTTAATAATCAATATAGAACCAGGCAGCTGAGACCCAGATGCAGTCCAAACTGAAAGCATACACATATTAGTCCCTCTGAGAAGACAGATTGTAGATCTGCCTTTGTGAATACAATCTAATGCTCCTCATTTTCCTTCAAAGAAATGTAGTCAAAATGTTTTTTTTTCTCTCCAGGCTCTGCGCCAGGCACATACTGTGCAGGCACTGTCAAAACGATGTCACTGCAGCTAAACTCATTTCCTGCCTAAGTCAGTCCTGAATTTCCATCCCTTTCTTCTTGATGTTTACCCTTCCTGCCATTATCTTGAAGTAACCTCTCATTCATCTTTCAGAGAAAATAAAATAATCCCATTCGTCAATTATTAAATAGTAACCAATACTGCTGACCATTGTTTGCCTTCCTGTGACCAGCCATTCACCATGCTAGTGACATGGTGATGTCTCATTTGCCTTCAGAAGGTGATTAATCATTCTGAGGCAACAGACCACACACAGCAGTCTGAGGAAGTGGTGACAGAAGCATTCAAGATGTAGTACAATTTTATAAGGCTAATCCCACATAACTGAGTTGATGATTGCGTTATCCCTCTTTCCCCCTTGTCTGCAAATTGTCTCATATTTTAAAGGTAATATATATCAAAGTCTAAGTAAGGAAGAGTTACTGCTCATAGCATAAAACTTTGAAAAGAAATGCTGATAAGAACCCTTCGATTTAGATGAGTAAACTACTAGAATATGTCAAAACACACAAATATTTGCAGTGAATCATCAAATGCTGGTATAACAGGGATTGTTAGTATCCTTGGGAAAAAATACCTTGAATTTCTATAGATAAGCAATTTGTGTTTTTTTATGCAGTCAGTTGGCAAGGCTTTATTGAGTGTCTATGTGTCCAGTATGTCCAAAGCCTCAAGGAGAAGAAAACAAAAGGGACAACTCCAGTATTATAAAACAGCAGGTCAACAAACTACATGGAAACCCAAGTTCTTCTGAAGGGGATTTCAGGTAGAGTTCTAAGCCAAAAAATATTTTTTTCTCTGCCAGGCATGGTGGCTCACGCCTGTAATCCCAGCACTTTGGGAGGCCGAGGCGGGCAGATCACGAGGTCAAGAGATTGAGACCATCCTGGCCAACATGGTGAAACCCCGTCTCTACTAAAAATACAAAAAAATTAGCCAGGCATGGTGCAGGGCGCCTGTAGTCCCAGCTACTCGGGAGGCTTAGGCAGGAGAATGGCGCGAACCCGGGAGGCAGAGCTTGCAGTGAGCCGAGATCACGCCATTGCACTCCAGACTGAGTGACAAGAGTGAAACTCTGTCTCAAAAAAAAAAAAAATATCAAACTATAGTTCATACAGGTAATAGTAATAATAATTAACACTATTGGCAAAATTAAGGCACATGGAAGTTTAATAAGTTCGTCAAGATTATAAAGTGAGCATAACAAAGAATGTAGAAACAGTGTATAGGTTTTAAAGGCCTAGAACATTTGCATTATCTGGAATCTGGATTAAAACTTCCCAGGAAATTGTGTTTATTGCCTCAATTTGTTCTTATGTGAAACAGAGAACTAAATGAGATAATGTATAAGTAGCACTTAATAACATAAATAATATACAGTAAATCTGTGTAAGTAGGTGGCCTTTAGTGCAGATGAACAATTTGCTCTAAGCATAGCATAGCTCCTGTAGTCTTAGTAACAGAAAATGATCACATATTGCAGGTTAAATTGAGCAAGTCAAAGCTTTCACCTTTAAAAATATAAAAACTTAGCTGAGAAATCACCTGATTCTCCCCCAGGAACATTTGAATACATTTTCGATTATCAATATATAATGGAAATGCTACTGCCATCCAGTAGGTCGAGGTCAGGGATGCTGTTAAAGACTGTACAATGCACAGGACAGTCCCCTACAACAAAGCAGTATCCAAAATATAAACCCTTGTCTAAGGTAATTGGCATAAATTAGAATGCCAATTTAGCTCATGTTGTAATAGAACTATTGAGGGTGTCTGATGTAGAAGTGGGTTTGGTCTCAGGTACAGTGGCTCACTCCTGTAATCTCAGCACTTTAGTAGGCTGAGGCGGGAAGATCACTTGGGCTCAAGCGTTGGAGACCAGCCTGGGTAACAAAGTGAGACCCTGTCTCTATGAAAAAAAAAAAAAGAAAAATAGCCAGGTGTAGTGGTGCATGCCTGTAGTCTCAGCTACTTGGGAGGCTGAGGTGGAAGGATCATTTGAGCCCAGGAGGTCAAGGCTGCAGTGAACCATGATCATGCCACTGCACTCCAGCCTGGGTGACAGAGCAAGATCCTGTCTCAAAAAATCAAAAACAAAACAAAACAACAACAACAACAGCAAAAAAACAGTGAGTTTTTCTTCACAGAGATTTGCTTGATAGAAAAAATAAAAACTGGCTGGGTACCCATATACCCATAGCATATTTTTCTGATACAATGTCTCCTTAAAAATAAAAAGCCAACAGTGATTTTAGAGCAGAATCTTAGAGAAATAAAAACAGAAGGATTTTAACAAATAGAGAAATTTGTTTTAAGAAAGAACAAAAAATTAAACATTTTCTAGGCCTGAATGTAAGACTATGGGGGTCATACCAGTGTCCACACTTCAGAGAACTCGATTCAAAGAACATTCCACAGATGTAACTCTTGGTCATTAAAAATTCAAGAGATAACAAAAATGGACTTAATGAGTTCGAATAGAGTGAGATTTTAATTAAAGGACCAAAAAAAGGGTTTCAATCAGGGAATGGTGACAATTTTGCATTGTGAGGCTTTTATTTATTTAGAGAGACACAAACATACAAAAAGACTAAATAGGAAGGAAAGGAGTGTTGTGACCCAAAGAGCAAATATCACAACTACAGTGTTTTAATTAAAGATGGCACTTAGGGACATCAGACTGGTGGTGAAAACTGAAGTAGTTAGTATTTATTCCTGGACTGATAAATATTGTGTTACCTTTACCATTCTGAACAAGAGAAAATGAAAAATAAAAAAGAATTATGATACGCTTTTAAAAATCACAAATTGCTCTGAGATTATCTCATTTATTTACAGAATAACGTAGGTCAGACTTATTTTTTTCATAATGACTGTTTTTTCCCAGGTGTCCAAATGCTTGGCTTCTAGTAATGGAGCTCCATTGAACGATTGAGTGAATGTATGGATTCCAAAAGCTCAAATGGCAGTAATTAGAGTCTAAAAACTTCTAACTCACTAATGGTAGTAAGAAGTAGAAGACATAACCTACATCTGAAGACAGCCTATCATACTACCAACCTAATGCACTGGGAGACAATAAGTGGATAACTCTAGCTGCTGAGATTCACAGGGAGCCATATCAACCTGATAAATCACTTATAGAGGCTGTAAACTTGCCAGCAAATCAATTACAGTATCTTTGCAATCCCTTTCTGTTTGTAAATAAAATAACACTGTGAATTGGAAAAATAAGCCATCACTGATTGTTTAAAACTCAGTTCTTGAGGTAGTGAAAGACACCTCAGTCACCATTCATTAGTAAGGACTTTATTATATCATTTAGAGCAGGCATTTGTTAAATGGGAAAATAAGGAGTCTCTACATATAAACATGATAATGCTAACTCATGATCAGTAAGGCATACATTTTGAGCTACTTTTCTAGTAGTTAATATGAGTTTGTATTAAGAAAACCATATGTTCTTGCCTAGCTTCAAGACACAACAGGACTAAGGATGTAATATATTTATGGTACAGTTTATTTTTTCACCATACATGATTAATAAATAGTGGAGCAATATCATTGCTTTTATCTAGGGCATTGGAAAATCCCTGCATTTTCTTCTAGCAACTATGATATGCTTAGAATCAATTGAAAAGGGATTCTAATTGTTAGATATATAATGCTTCCTTGATCCTATCACCTTCTATCCTAGTACAGTCTTAAAAATATCTAGTAGCAGCCTATATTTTGCAAGTGGGAAAGCTAAGACTCGGAGAGATTAAGAGACTTATCCAAGCACACCTAGTTAAAGTGGTGGCTCATTAGAGTCTAGAATTCAGGGTTCTGAGCTGCCAATTTAGTGATCTTTCCATAATAGCATGGAAAGATCACCACCATACCACCAACCTAATGCACTGGGAAACAATAAGCGGATAACTCTAGCTAATATGAGTTAGTAATAATAACTCTGAGGTCACACTTGATTCTACTATTATCTGTGCAACACAAAAACATCTCATTGCCAACTTACCAAGAGTATTAGTTCGGAGATGCTCTATTAACTTCTTTGAATCAGTCTTCAAGAGATAAGATTTCAAGTTCATGACAACTGCTTACACCATCTCAGAATTACCAGTTCTTTCATCACCACCCAATGAATGAATGCATGAGGAGCCATGTGTCCACTAAAATCCTGTCATTCAAACTTGTACACTTCCTCACATGTCCTGGGAGTGTTCGCATTCTTCAAGCTGACTCAAAGACATAGACTTGGTCAGAAGGCCATCTACTTATCAAATAGTGCATTAGCTGATTTTTAAAATTCAAATCTAGAATATCCACCCCTTGTTCTCTAATAATCTTATTTCTGCAAGCTTCTTTCTTGTACAAAACAATTGTGTGTTTATTAAGAATATGCTTTGGCATTTCACTACATAGGACAAAGATGCGAATATGACTGTGAAGTGAGCAAACTGTATTTGAGAAGCCTAAATATAACTTAGGAAAAAGTCACCCAGAGAAAGACACGTATCACAATGTCCAAAAGTCATGACGAAACTAAGGTGTGGTTTGGGAAAATATACAGATGCAGTCTAAGATTACAGCAGAAATTAGGAGGGGGGATGAGAAGTTCAATAGACTCTATCAGTGGCCCAAATTCTTCACTTCTCCCTGTATTTGTACCCTTTGCCATGTAACCTTGCAGTCCTTTCCAACATGGATGGAGCGTAATTCCTCACCCCTGGACTTAGAAATGTGACATGTTTGTCCAACGAAACGTAGTAAATGTGACACAGAATCTTGAAAAGTGCTCACACAATTTGGCTCACTCATTCATGTGCTTATACCTTTCCCATGAGAAGGACATGCCTAACCTAGCCTGCTACTCCCAGGGGGAGGATGAGTGACATGTGGAGCACAGCTGCCTCAGCTAAGGTGCCCCAAACTGCCCAACCTAAAACAAAGCTCCAGCCAACACACAGATGCATGTGGTATAAGAGGTAATGATTGGTGTTTTAAACCACTGAATTTTGGGGTAGTTTGTTACGTAGCAATAGAAACTTGATATATAAAGAGTGACTTCTCATAATTTGGAGTTATTTATCCATTCACAGAAAGATGTCAGGAAGTGGCTGAGGATCTTAAATAGCTAGAGTAGCCCTTTATGTAGGAAAACTCAAAAGCCCTAAGCAGGCATTTTTGCCTAGCAAGGAAATCAGATCTGGGGGTAGGGAGTGGAGAAGGATGTTCCAGAAGTGGCACTAACTTGATTATATAGATTTATTAGGTCCAGGGTTGAAATAGAGTTTGTCTCCTGAGATCATAGGGATTGACACAGGCATTGGAATTAGCAGAATTGGGAAGGCTTGGCACACAGAAAGTATTGAATATACTTGTGTCAGTAAATGAATAAATGATCCAACGTAAAAATAAACCAAAAAACAAAGTCTAAAGCAAGATCAGACTAGTAGAATTAGAGTGGGAAGCTGTGAAAGCTAATATATGGGGTCAGAGGTGGGGGCTACGGTATGAAGAAAAATTCAGGCATGAGCAGGATGAAGGAGTGTAACTAGGAGGGAGCAGGTGGTTGTCTGTAAGCAAAGCACTGTTGATAAGGTTTGTGTGACAAAGTAGCATGAAGGACTGTTTGAGACCTATTCTTGTCTCTAAAGGTTGTAGAATACATAGAGATTATAGAATACAGTAGAGATTATGGCTGAGATCAAGCTTTATTTAGAACAGATAAATTCTCTCAGACTGAATTTAAAAAAGACTTAGTTATTGGCTCAAAGATTCCATGCCCACCCTGGCATTTTTCATAAAGAGATAAACTAGGGGTATTGGGAGAGAGGAGAGCTGGCTTCTTGAGGGCATGCCTAGGGTTCATCTGCAAATGGACATGTGACAACAAACCTTGAGCACTGTTCCTGTATCACTGTCCCTTTATTTCTGTGTTCCTTCTGTATTCTAAAAGAAATCCCTTTACCTCACATTTCTGAGAGAGAGAGGAGGAGGGGGTCACTCCATTCATTACTCCCCCAGTATTGAGAAAACCAGTCAGTATTTGGGCAGGTCTTCAAGGGGGAGAAGATGTCTTTATCATTGTGCATATTGTTGTGCTTCTTAAGGTATTGAGGAGAGATATGAAGCATAAGAGACAATATCTCTTACCAAAAAAAAAAAAAAATGCCTGCCCACTCAAGCTCCCAGTTTCACTTTGTGCAAGGTATGGGAAGATGGGTCCCTCCTGTACCAACAGATCCTAGAGGCAGGACTGCAGAATTGCTGAAATACTGATCATTTGGAACAAAGTAGCTCAGAGGAAAGTGGAGGTGGATGTAGTGGGAGGCTCCAGCTAAGAGTCAACTAGATGTGCTGAATCTCCCAGGGGAGCTGCTTGGAGATGATTGCTTCATCGGGGGGCTGTTGGGATCATGAACTGCACAGACTGAGTCTTTAAACAACATGATGATTGCTCATTAGAAAATTAAACAATGGGATCAACCAACTCATTATTTGTGATCATATAAGGAGATAACTTTTTCTTCTTGCTATTAGGTGTCTCAATATCTGAGGATGTATAACCTTCATGAAAGAGGAAAGTAAAGTCAGGCAGACCATAGACCATGCCTCTCCCTCAAGCCTACAGAGCAGTAGATCTCCAGTGCCCTCCACCCTGTTTGTTAAAATTGTGGTAATCTATACATAATACTAAATTTCCTATTTTAACCATTTTTAAGTATTCAGTTCAGTAGTTTCAAACACTCTCACATTGTTGTGTAACCAGTCCCCAGAACTGTTTTCATCTTGCAAAATTGACACTTTATACTGATTAAACAACTCCCGGTTCCCCGTCCCCCCCACTCCCCCCCTCCCCCCCGCCCACCACTGCCGCCAGTCTCTGGAAACTCCCATTCTACTTTCTGTCTCTATGATTTTGACTACTCTGGGTACCTCATATAAGTGGGATCATACAGTATTTGTCCTTTTGTGACTGACTATCTTACTTGGTATAATGCCCTCAATGTTCATTCATGTTGCAGCATGTAAAAGAATGCCCTTCTTTTTAAGACTGAATGATATTCCAGTTTATGTGGATGCCACATTTTGTTTATCCATTCATCTGTGGGTGAACGTTTGGGTTGCCTCCACCCTTTGACTATTGTGAATAATGATGCTATGTGTAGGGAGATACAAACATCTCTTCAAGATCCTGCTTTTAGTACTTTTGGGTATATACCCAGAAGTAGAATTGCTAGATTATATGATAATTCTATTTTTAATGTTTGCAGGAACTCCTACCCTGTTTTTAAGAAATATTTTATATTGTCCCCTTTGCTACACTGAAATGAAATTCATGGCTAATATCTCTCTTCACAGGTAATTATTTAAATCTATGTAATATCCTATGACCTTAAGGAGAAATAAAAGGAACGTAATTCATAATATAAAATATATTTTAAATGTAAATGTTTGGGCATGACCACACTAGAAAGTCAGCTTACTTTTACTCATAATAGATAAATCAGAATTTAAAAGAAATAAGAAATTTTAAATGAATATTGCTAAGTGAAAGAAGACTGTCTGAAAAGGCTACATACTGTGTGTATTAGTCAGGGTTCCAATTCCAACTACAATATATGACATTCTGGAAAAGGCAAAAATATGGAGACAGTAAAAAAAAAATCAGTGGGAGGAGGAAGAGATGAATAGGCAGAACACAGGGGATTTTTTAGAGCAGTAAAACTATTCCTTATGATAATATAATGGTAGATGCATGTCATTATAAATCTGTCCAGTCATGTGGACAACATCATGAACCCTAATATAAACTATGAACTTTGGGGGATAATAATGGTGTCAATGTAGGTTCACCAATTATTATAAATGTACCACTCTGGTGGGGAATATTGAAGGTGGAAAAGACTATGCAGGGGAGGAGATATACAAGAACTGTCTACTTTCTGCTCAATTTTGCAGTGAATCTAAAGCTGCTTTAAAAATGAAGTAGATATTAGTCATCATAATTTTAAAAGTCAAGAGCAAAATCCACATAATTTTCAATGAAAAAATAAGACAATATTCAGTTGAATGTTGTTGAAATATTTTTAATTTTTTGACATTTTGAAATAAAGGTTAAATGGTTATATTCATCTATATTCCTGGGAGCTTCATAATAGAGACAGATACATATGCAGACTAATTCAGGTGTGTTGTGTTGGCCACACAAATGTGAGTGACATTACCATTAGTGGCATGATTTTCCAGATTGATAAGCAATTCCTAGTAAAACACCAAGCAAAATAAGTTCAATTTTTTTCTCATTGTATATGGTAGAAGCATCTAAATTCCTGGAAAATATAGTGATTATTAAAATAGTGCAAAAAGTTTTTAAATAAAAAATGGAATTATGTTCTGCACTTGAAAATTTTTTTTCTTTCTCTTGGAGCTTCTTTTTAGTCTTTTTTTATCTTTCCAACTTTTATTTTAGGTTCAGGGGGAACATGTGCAGGTTTGTTACATGGGCCAATTGCCTGTCATGGTGGTTTGGTGTACAGATAATTTGGTCAACCAAGAAATCAGCATAATAACTGATAGGTAGTTTTTCAATCCTCACTCTCCTTCCACCCTCCACCCTCAAGTAGACCCTGGTGTCTGTTGTTCACTTCTTTGTGTCCACGTGTACACAATGCTTAGCTCATACTTAAAAATGAGAACATGAAGTATTTGGTTTTCTGTTCCTGCATTAATTTACTTAGGCTAATAATCTGCAGCTCCATCCATTTCACTGTAAGGGACATTATCTCATTCTTTTTTATGGCTATGTAGTATTCTGTGGTGTATATGTAACACATTTTCTTTATCCAGTCCACCATCAGCCTAGGTGGGCATCTAGGCTGATTCCATGCCTTTGCTATTGTGAATAGTGCTGCAATGAACATACATGTGTATATGTCTTTATGGTAGAACAATTTATATTCCTTTGGATATATACCCAAAATCCAGTAATTGGATTGCTGTGTCAAATGGTAGCTCTGTTTTAAGTTCTTTGAGAAATCTCCACACTTCTTTCCACAGTGGCTAAACTAATTTACATTGCCAGTTGCAGCATGTAAGTTTTTCCCTTTCCCCACAATCTTGCCAGCATCTGTTATTTTTTGACTTTTTAATAACAGCTATTCTGACTGGTGTGAGATGGTATCTCATTGTGGGTTTTTTTTTGTTTTATTTTTTATTTTGTGTGTGTGTGTGTTTTCTTAACTTTTATTTTAAGCTTGGGGTGGGTACATGTATGGGATGTGCAGGTTTGTTACATAGGTATATGTGTGTCATGGGAGTTTGTTGTACAGGTTATTTCATTACCCAGGTATTAAGCCTAGTATCCATTAGTTATTTTTCCTGATCCTCTCCCTCCTCCCAGCCTCTACCCTCTGATAGGCCCCAGTGTGTGTTGTTTCCCTCTCTGTGTCCATGTATTCTCATCATTTAGCTCCCACTTGTAAGTGAAAACGTATGGTATTTGATGTTCTGCTTCTGCATTAGTTTGCTAAGAATAATGACCTCCAGCTCCATCCATGTACCTGCAAAGGACATCTTGTTCCTTTTTATGGCTGCATAGTATTCCATGGCATATATGTACCACATTTTCTTTATCCAGTCTATTGATGGGCATTTGGGTTGATTCCTACGGGGATACAGTAACCACAACAGCACGGTACTGGTACAAGAACAGACACATAGACCAATGGAACAGAATAAAGAACCCAGAAATAAGACCACACACCTACAACTATCTAATCTTCGACAAAGCTGACAAAAACAAGCAATGAGGAAAGGATTCCCTATTCAATAAATGGTGCTGGGATAACTGGCTAGCCATATACAGAAAATTGCAACTGGACCCCTTCCTTACACTATATACAAAAATTAACTCAAGACGGATTAAAGACTTAAATGTAAAACCCAAAACTATAAAAACCCTGGAAGACAACCTAAGCAATACCATTCAGAACATAGGCATGGGCAAAGATTTCATGATGAAGATGCCAAAAGCAATTGCAACAAAAGAAAAAATTGACAAATGGGATATAATTAAACTGAAGACCTTCTACACAGAAAAAAAAACTATCAACAGAGTAAATAGACAACCTACAGAATGGGAGAAAATTTTTGCAAACTATGCATCTGACAAAGGTCTAATATCCAGAATCTATAAGGAACTTAAACAAGTTTACAAGGAAAAAACAACCCCATTAAAAAGTGGTCAAAAGGGCATGAACATACACTTCTCAGAAGAAGGCATACATGTGGCCAACAAGCATATGGAAAAAAAACAACATCACTTATCATTAGAGAAATGCAAATCAAAATCACAATGAGATATCATCTCACACCAGTCAGAATGGCTATTATTATTAAAAAGTCAAAAAATAACAGATGCTGGCAAGGTTGTAGAGAAAAGAATACTTATACACTCCAACTGGTGAGTTCTTTCACTTCCTTGGTTAGCTATATTCCTAGGTACTTGATTATTTTTGAGGCTATTGTAAATGGGATTACATTCTCAATTTGGCTGTCAGCTTGGACGTTATTGGTGTATAGAAATGCTGCTGATTTTTGTACATTGATTTTGTATCCTGAAACTTTGCTGAAGTTGTTTATCAGATCTACGAGCCTTTGGGCAAAGAGTATGGGGTTTTCTAGGTATAGAATCATCCGTGAAGAGAAATAGTTTCATTTTCTCTCTTCCTATTTGGATTCTTTTTATTTTCTTCTCTTGCCTGATTGTTGTGGCTAGGACTTACAGTACTATGTTGAACAGGAGTAGTGTCTGTTTACAGTTCTCAAGGGAAATGCTTCCAGCTTTTGCCCATTCAGTATTATGTTGGCTGTGGGTTTGTCATATATGGCTCTTACTATTTTAAGGTATGTACCTTTGATGACTAGTTTGTTGAGGATTTTTAACATTAAGGAATGTTGAATTTTATCGAAAACGTTTTCTGTGTCTATTGAGACAATTATGTGGTTTTTGTTTTTAGTTTTGTTTTTGTGATGAATCACATTTATTGATTTGCATATGTTGAACCAGCCTCGCATACACTTGATAATTATTAATAGTTTTTTTTTTCTGAGTACCTACTGTGTGCTAGGCAATATTCTTTAAAAAAATTTTTGGCCGGGCACGGTGGCTCATGCCTGTAATCCCAGCACTTTGGTAGGCCGAGGTGGGTGGATCACAAGGTCAGGAGATCGAGACCTTCCTGGCTAACACAGTGAAACCCCGTCTCTACTAAAAATACAAAAATTAGCCAGGAGTGGTGGTGGGCGCCTGTAGTCCCAGCTACTCAGGAGGCTGAGGCAGGAGATTGGCGTGAACCCGGGAGGCAGAGCTTGCAGTGAGCCGAGATCACGCCACTGCACTCCAGCCTGGGCGACAGAGCGAGACTCTGTCTCAAAAATAAAAAAAAAAATTGTTTTTATTTCCATAGGTTATTGGGCAACAGGTGGTATTTGGTTACATGACTAAGTTCTTCAGTGGTGATTTGTGAGATTTTGGTGCACCCATCACCTGAGCAGTATACACTGCACTCAATTTGTAGTCTTTTATCCCTCACCCCCTTCCTGCCCTTTCCCCCGAGTCCCCAAATGCCATTGTGTCACTGTTATGCCTTTGCACCCTCATAGCTTCGCTCCTACTTACGAGTGAGAACATACAATGTTTGATTGTTCATTCCTGAGTTACTTCACTTAAAATAATAGTTTCCAATCTCACCCAGGTTGCTGTGAATGCCATTAATTCATTCCTTTTTAGGGCTCAGTAGTATTCCATCATACATACATATATATCTCACAGTTTCTTTATCCACTCATTGATTGATGAGCATTTGGGTTGGTTCCACATTTTTGCATTTGCGAATTGTGCTGCTATAAACATGCGTGTGCAAGTATCTTTCGCATATAATGACTTCTTTTCCTCTGGGTAGCTATCCAGTAGTGGAATTGCTGAATCAAATGGTAGTTCTACTTTAAGGAATCTCCACACTGTTTTCCACGGTGGCTGTACTAGTTTACATTCCTGTTAGCAGTGTAGAAGTGTTCCCTTTTCACTGCATCCACGCCAACATCTATTATTTTTTATTTTTTGATTATGGCCATTCTTTATGGGTTTTTACCATCAGGAATGTCCAGCAAGATATTTCAAAGTAATGCAGGAAGTAAGATAACTTTCCATAGAGGAGGTTTATCCCACACACTGTCTATCAATTCTGACCTCCTCCCACTAAATGTCAATAGCCCCCCAACAAATATTGAGACCATACTTCCAAAAATTTCCTTTAGAATAGCAATTATTTCAAATGATTTCATTTAAAAACAAAACTAAAGGTCATTTAAAAACATAATACTTAGATGAAATATATCTATTTTTATATTCCTCAAAATGGGACACATTGAATCTGCTGAAGAACCAAATAGAAAACACTCACACAACAATGGTAAAGAGTATTTGCAATATCCACTGAATAAGTATGTAAAGTTGATTTCTGTGTGAAATTCACATTCAGACCACAGATCTAAAGTTGACACTAGTTCGTTCTATTTCAAATTCAAGATTTTAGGTGAATTTGGCATCATTTAAAACAGATTATAGTTTTCCTTTTACAATTCTTTGACAATGCTATGGATTTTTTGTGTCATTGCTAATAATTTTAGTGCACACAAGATGAAAGCCAGGCAAGACAAGACTTTTGAGACAAATGAAGCTGAATGCAAAGTATAAAGAATATCTTTTTAAAAGTATTTTTAAAGTTTTTATTTGCAAATGTTTTAATCTTATATAAGAGTTATGTACATAGTATAAAGCATTTCCACATGCTCTTTATCTAGATTCACCAGTTGTTAGTTATTCCTATTTGTTTTTTATTATTATTTCTTTAGATGGATAGATAGATAGATAGATAGATAGATAGATAGATAATGATACTTTTTTAACTCGCAGAAATCATGCTCCTATACCCCTACATACATCAATATGTATTTTCTAAGAACAAGATTATTCTCTTACATAACTACAGTATCAAAATCAGGAAATTTAACCCTGATGGAATACTATTATTTAATCCATAATCCATATTTCATTTTTGCCAGTTGAATAATGTCCTTTATAACAATGCTTTTAAGGTCCAGAATCTTGTCCAGGGCCACATAGTACATATAGTTGTCATGTTCCTTTAGTCTCCTTTAATCTTAAAAGCCCTGAAGCCTTTCTCTTTTTATGACAACAGATATTTCTGAAGAATAATTGAATGATCCTCCATTTGGGCTTGTCTGATGTTTTCTAATAGTTATATTCAGATTATGCATTTTTGGCAGGAATACCACAAAAGTCATGGTGTGCCCTTCTCAGTTCAACCCATCAAGAGGTACATGATATTGTATTATCCCATTATTAGTTATAGAGAATATCCTCACCAAAAAAAACAATATCTAGGAAAAGCAAACTTACTCAAACCAGTAAAACATACTGTTCAATTTTGGTGCTTTTCATAAGCAAGCAAAAATGTAAGTTGATTTGACCTAAACACAGTATTTTTCTTTGCAAAGAAAATCAGTCCCTAATCAACATAAGCTATTGAACATCACCTTTATTGACATGAACTGAGAGTTTCGAATTCAGATCTAAATTGTGTTGAAAAGTAATGTGCTTGGTGCTATATCCTCTCAAAATCCTAGACAGAGCTTAGCTGGTGGCCAAAGGATATTGCTTTACTTGGGAAGTGCGTACATCAGAAGGAAAGGGGACCACCTCATGAGACTGTGTATTGGGTCTTTGTGAAGAGTTAGCTGCAGAATACTTTCCTACAGACCAGTGAAATGAAAAAGACGATACTCATTTTGCTTTCATTTTGCTTTCTTCTGATTTTCTTCTGCTAGCAAAGTACTTTGAAGTAAAGCATCTATTAATTTTGGAACAACCACTGAATTTAATTACCATATCTAATGTTAGCTTGTACAAAGTGTTATAGGGATATGTTTTCTTCCATAAGAAGTACAGTACAATATGTTCTTCTATTTCAAATCCATTTCACTTAATTCCAGTGCTTTGACAGGAAAAAGCAATACTGTTGCCTACCTTCATATTCAGGCTGCTATCTCTCTCTGAACGGCACACCTGAGAAAAATCACATCCCACTTACCTTTATCTCAACATGCTGCTCTGTAGAACTATTTCCATTTGCCTGCTCCCCCAAAAAAATAAAATGAGAAGAGCATGAATAATTGTTGCATTCCAAGAGATCATGATGAATTTTATTAGTGTACAAAGCATATTGCATGAATTTACCAGGGGTCGTTATTCTGAGCTCACATATGCTGTGCAAAGCTGTCATTTTAAACTGCTCATAGAGTGGTGCTGAGTGGCTTATTCCATTTCCTTGTATGGCTATTCACCTTTTTGGGTAGGGTGGTGGGTGGGTATTAAACTCCACATGCTGTGACGGGAATCTATACAAAGTTTATACTTCTCTGTACATTTTTAGAAGAAGCAAGTAGAGATGAAAACAGAAAGTCATATTGATTCTCTCTGTGAGTCTCTTGAATTAAGAGGCTATTTAAAACTGGGAGGTTGTTTGATGGTATGTTGGGTAACAAATACCGGGGCAACATGTGCATAGAAAACACTATTGACAGTTGTAAAATCATGACCCTCCATCTTCCTGAAAGAGTGAGGGAAAGAAATTTAATTTAAAGTGTAGAAAGAGGTATTTAGGTTACATTAAAAAAAACCCACTAACTTGTTAAGATTTGTCAAATAGTATCTTTTCTCTAGAGAGTCTAAAAAAGGGAAGATGATGCCCATGCAAATTTGAGAACCTAGTCACAAAGATGGGCTAGAAAGCATTTAAGACTTTTTTAACCTTTGAGACTTTAGAGCAAAGAGGTGATTTCATGAGGTAAAATCAGAAACAGTTATTTCAAACAAGTATAACAACCTTGTATTCATCATTAGCCATACTTCCCTGGGTTTTCAATTATACTTAAGTTCTGATTATCATTAAAAATGGTTTTATATTATAATAAAATATATCGTGCCTCAATTTCACTCCTCTCCAGAAGAAACTTGTACATTTCTGAATGAAACCACAAACACTGAAGCTTTCAAAATATGACAACAAACAATAATAAAAAGTAATAAGAGAGAATCATACTACACTTGAGCTATGATAACAATCATTCCTATTTTAATTATTATAGTTTTATTATTTAAACTCTCAATATTTCATTCATATATCTATTGATTATACTTCCTTTCTGACCCTATTTCTGCCTGCTTACTTTCATAACCTCTACTTTCCTGCCCAAATAACCAAATCCCACCTCTCCCTATCATGTGCTTTTGCTGCTATTGCTCCTTTCATCCGAAGTCTCTCCCTGTCCGGCCACCACCATTCCTTTTCCACACACCCATCTTCAGAGCTCTAAATCCTCTTTACCCTTCTGGACTCAGATTTAATGCACTCCCCCTGACTCAATATAGCCTCACCCTTCTCCATTTCCCCATACTCTCTTGTTCTGTGTTGTGTTCCTTTTGTTCACCCATTGATACAATGGTTATTAAATGTCTCTTCTGTGCTAGGTTACATGTGCTAGGAATGGCAGTAAATAAGACACTCTATAGATCTTGGTTCTCAGAAAGCTGACATTCTCTCAGGAAACATAGACATTAAGGAAAGAATTGCAAAAATGATTAATTCTGTAAATGAGAAAACACAGGATGATACTGGTGTACTAACAGGTTATGTCTCTATCTTCAGTGGGTCAGAAATGTCTGTCCTTGGTCCAAAGGGATCAAGTTATATGACTTGAGGGTTCAGTTATACTTTACTTGGTTTGAGTCCTAGGAGATGAAATGGATTGTTTTGGAAAGCCAAGAGCAACCCACTCACATCCATGCATAGCATGGGACTTTGGAAAGCATATGACTCAAATGCAAATAACGCGGATAAGCACTGGGTCCACAGTGGTATATGTAAGAATCCCCCAGAGGTTAACAAAGATTTGAAGCTGCCCATTCATAGGACAAACCTTCCCTGAACCCTCTCTTCAGGTCTGGCCTGGTGCCAAGTACTAGGGTTATAATGCTGCTGAAGACATGTTCCCTCCTTCAAGGAACTCATGGTCTAGCAGGAAAGACATGCCTGTGAACAAACGGTTGGTTATTGATCCATGTATCTGTCCATCTTGCTTAGTGCCTCTCGTTTTGTGCTGTCATACTAGATCCATTCAATCCCAGGCTCTCTCTAGGTACTTCACTAACAAGGGAGTAACCCAGTGTCTTTTCCAAGCTGGTCCTTGCATGATGCTTGGAGACTTTGTGAGGAAATACTGAGCTTTCCCAGACAAGGTCTCTCTGATTATTCTAATGGCATATCAGTGTGTCCATTGACAGCCTGACTTCTTTGGGAAAATGGAAATGGAAGAGATCTCTTAGCAATCTATTCTGTCTTCTTATACAATTCTTTGCTTTTAGTCTCAAAGATTCATTTACATGAAAGAATATCTCATCACTTTTATTTCCAAGGAATTTGAAGATTAGATGGAAGGGTGGAACCCATAGCGTTCTCTCTTTTGAAGTTATATACATACGTTAGAAACAGAGAATCCTCAATAACCATAATATAATAGCGTACTATAATTTTTTATGCTACTAGAATAGTAAATAGAAAATTTCTTGAGGACACTGTCTCTTACCCTCTGTCTACATTCTGAATTATTTAGTGCAGTGCCTTTTACTTAGTATGTACTCAACCAATAGAGTAAGTGCAAACAAAGGAATAAACAAATTAGTTGAGGAGGATAAGTAACAGGATATCAATGACACTGAAAATCAACTTAGAAAGTAGAACTTGGATAAATTACGCCATTCCACTGTTTTTATTGCAAGAGAACTTTAAAATTTGGTCAGTATGACTAATATTGTGATAATTAATTAAGATCAGATTTATATATAATCTAAAAATAAAAAATTGATTACTTCCTGCAAAGCTTCTACACACATAGGAGAAGAAATTATGCTACTCAGAAAATGATGAATAAGAAATAGAAACAATGAAAATCTCTAACCCAAAGGACTCCTAAGAGCTTTTATCTGATGCCATATGTGAAATGTATATCAGTAGAACCAGAATAAAGCAGAAGACTGCCATTTCCCCAAAAAGGGGTTGAATATGGGAGGAAGTTCTCTATTTTCTGGAATAAATGTATTAGCAGTAAAGGGTAGTGGAAAATGGGGAGAGAAGATGGAATAAAGAAAATTTTCCTGCAGAGGAAGTCCTTCTTTCTCCCAAACAAATTTATCTGTATTCTAAGTCATATTACTAGTCTTCCTAGCCTTCAGGGTTGCCCAGTCATTTGAAAACATATGAGCAATCTTGCCCCACTATGCCCTTTGAAATCATAGTCCTTCAAGATATTTATTAAGAACAAATGGAATGATGGCAACTTTATAGTAGAGAAACCCAACAGAAACCACCTTAACCAAGTGATCAAGGTTAACATTACCAGTAGTGGGACAAATTGATACCACAAACCTTTTGATAAGATACATTGAGAAGGACACAACATCACTTCTGTGGCATTCTTGCCAAACATGCTAACCTCAATCTAATTATGAGAAAGCATCTGACACGCGTTAGTTGACATTCTACAAAATAACTGACAAGTACTCTTCAACATCAAAAAGTGGGCAAAGGATATGAACAGACAGTTCTCAAAAGAACACATTTATGCAGCCAAAAGACACATGAAAAAATGCTCATCATCACTGGCCATCAGAGAAATGCAAATCAAAACCACAATGAGATACCATCTCACACCAGTTAGAATGGCAATCATTAAAAAGTCAGGAAACAACAGGTGCTGGAGAGGATGTGGAGAAATAGGAACACTTTTACACTGTTGGTGGGAGTGTAAACTAGTTCAACCATTGTGGAAGACAGTGTGGCGATTCCTCAGGGATCTAGAACTAGAAATACCATTTGACCCAGCCATCCCATTACTGGGTATATACCCAAAGGATTATAAATCATGCTGCTATAAAGACACATGCACACGTATGTTTATTGCGGCACTATTCACAATAGCAAAGACTTGGAACCAACCCAAATGTCCAACAACGATAGACTGGATTAAGAAAATGTGGCACATATACACCATGGAATACTATGCAGCCATAAAAATTGATGAGCCCATGTCCTTTGTAGGGACATGGATGAAATTGGAAATCATCATTCTCAGTAAACTATCGCAAGGACAAAAAACCAAACACTGCATGTTCTCACTCATAGATGGGAATTGAACAATGAGAACACATAGACACAGAAAGGGGAACATCACACTCTGGGGCCTGTTGTGGGGTGGGGGGAGGGGGGAGGGATAGCATTAGGAGATATACCTAATGCTAAATGACGAGTTAATGGGTGCAGCACACCAGCATGGCACATATATACATATGTAACTAACCTGCACATTGTGCACATGTACTCTAAAACTTAAAGTATAATAATAAAAGAAAAGTGTCAAGGTCATAAAAAACAAAGAAAGATTGATGAATAGTCACAGATTGGAAGAGACTAAGGAGACATGCGAATTTTAATGATATGTGGGATCCCAGTTTAAATCCTAGACTAGAAAAAAATAGTGAAAAAACTAATGAAACTTTAGTGAGGTCTGCAGTTTAGTTAATTGTATTATACCAGTGTTAGCTTCTTGGTTTTGATAATTGTACCATGGTCTTATAGGACGTTAATTAGAGAAAGCTGGGTAAAGAGTATATGGGAACACTCTACACTATTTTTGTAACTTGTATGTAAATCTAAAATTAGTTCAAAATAAAATGTTTTTAAAAATCTGATGGCATGTTTGTTCATAGATACCTTTCAGAGATAAGTAAGTAGAGACACATGATAGAGTGGTCAAAATAGGATTAGTCAGGATAATGTGATTTAAAGGTTGTCATTAACTGTAATACCCATTTATCCAGTCTTAACTAATGGGTTAAGCATCACCTTACACATTGATCCATTAGCATCACCCTACACATTGATCCAATCACTCTGCTAGGTGCTACAGTGCTCACCATCATTATACCATCTGATTTTAGTAATTGTAATTGGTTATATTACAAGAGTTTGAAAAAAAGCAAAGAAAAAGCTCAAAAAGTTTTGAAAGCACTGCCATCTGCTCCTTAAATGCTATATTTCCTTTTTTACTGATTTTCACTGTCTACTAGACCAAAAGTATGTTTGCCACTATCGTGTCATTCTAACTTCAGTGTCAAGGAAGCTTACCCCTTATCAATAAAAAAAATGCTCCAATATTTTTGATATGTAAGTGTGAGAAATCAGTTGGCCTGACTCCAAATACAAATAAAAACAAAACACACCACCTAACCACACTTCCCCCAATTTGTCTTATCTTTAGTCTCTGGAAATAGAATTTTGGAAACAGTCCTCACCACAATGTGAAAAATACTTCTGGTTTCCAATTATCAGTTGCCAAAGAGATGAGGGCTTATTCTGTCAAAATTGTCTCAATTTTTACAAAAGCAATTAAGACTTTTCTGACTTCAGGCTAACATTCTTCAGATTGAATCAGATGCCAAAACTGAAGTGAAATTCAAACTAAGCAAGAAATGATTTTCATCTGGACTCCTACTAAATAGAGCTAAATCATAAAATTTATATGAAAATTCTTCACTGTTTTTAAAAGTATAAGATGTTGGTTGCAGTTTTAAGCAGCCAAACATCAACTTATTTTGAGCAGAGTTAGTCTCTAGTTTTAAACAGGGTGTAATATAACCTTCAAGTCTCGGTTATTAATATTCATTTTGGTTTCCATTGCAAGTCAGGATTGAACCATGAACTCACCCAGAATTTTGCTCCAATTTATGTGTGTGTGTGTGTGTGTGTGTGTGTGTGTGTGTGTATGTGCAAAGGAATTTATACTACTATGTAATAATTCTATAATTTCACTTAATCTTTCTATTCATACAAACTTTACTTAATTTTATTCTCCTAAATATAACCACTCTGAAAATTATTCTTCAACAATAGTGTTTCAGATTATTATTAAATAGTTCGTGGCCATTTGGAAGAATTCTTCCTCCTCTTGTTCTTTCTCTTCCTCCTCCTCCTTTTTCTTTTTCTTCTTCTCTTTCTTCTTCTTCTTCTTCTTCTCCTTTTCTTCTTCTTCTTCTTCCTCTTCTTCTTGCTTCTTCTTCTTCTTCTTCTTCTTCTTCTTCCTCTTCCTCTTCTTCTTTCTTCTTCTTCTTCTCCTTCTTCTTCTTCTTCTCTTCTTCTTCTTCTTCCTCTTCTTCTTTCTTCTTCTTCTTCTCCTTCTTCTTCTCCTCCTCCTCCTCCTCGTTATTGTATGCACTGATTTAGATCCTTAAGTCTTTTCTTCTATTTCTGCCTTAATACATCTCAGTGATTTCATTTATTTTCCTTTTCAGAAATATCTTCACTTTATCTTTAATATCTTCACAAAAAAGGCATCTATCGCAGATTCAGCTGTATTATCAAAGTTGTATCACATTTACAAATCATTGTCTGATAATAGACTTGTATTCAGAAAACATAAAGAACCCTCACAATTCAATAGTAAAACCACATATAATCCAACTTAAAAAGGGAAAATTATTTGGACAGACATTTCTTTAAAGAAGATATACAAGTGGCCAATAAGCACAGGAAGAGATGCCCAACACTACTAGTCATCAGAGAAATACGAATCAAAACCACAATGACTTCATATCTATTAGGATATCTACAATAAAAAAGATGGAAAAAAGTGTTGGTGAGAAAGTGGAAAAATTGGAAACCCTATACATTGCTGGTGGAAATGTAAGATGGTGAAGCTGCTTTGGAAAATGGTCTTGTTTCTCAAAATATTAAACAGAGTTGCCATATGACCTAGCCATTTCACTTCTAGGTATACACTCAAGAGAAATGAAAATATGCATTCATACAAAAACTTGTACATGAATATTCATAGCAGCATTATTCATAATAACTCAAAAGGGGAAACAACCTGAATATGCATCAGCTGATGAATGGATAAATAACATGTGGTGTATCCATACAGTGGAATATTATTCAGCAATAAAAAGGAATGATATACTGATACATGCTGTAACATAGATGAGCTTTTAAAACACAATGCTAAGTGAAATCACATAAGACCACATATTGTACGATTCCATGTCTATGAAATGTCTACAACAGGCAAATTTATAAAAATAGAAAGTAAATTGGTGGCTACTCAGGGCTAAGGTGAGAGGCAGGAAGAGAATGGGGATTGACTTCTAATTGGTATGGGGTTTCTTCTATGGGAAGAAAATGTTCTAAAATTATAGTGATGGTTCCAGAACCCTGTGAATATACGAAAATCCACTGAATTCTATTGTATATTAGTTATATTTCAATAACGCTATTTCTATTTAAAAAGTTGCATTAGGGATACAAACTCAAATTTTTAGGATATATTTATGTCTATCCTCCCATGCCTGCCATCTCTTCATTCCCAAATTCCCTTTGATGCTGATCTATTTAATCATTGATTAGTGTGTATTTTACATTAATATACTTATCACATAATTAATTAGAATTTGTTGTGAGTAAAACTGTGGGCAATTCAAACAATTCAGATAAGACATGCACTCAAATAAATATACTAAAATATAAAAGGTGGTGTATGCTGTAATTACAATTTTATGAATGTTCAGAAAAGAGAGACATTATTACCAGCTGGGTGATCAGGAAAGTATCATTAAGTAAACAATATTTGAGATGAGTTTTGAAGAATAGGTAGGATTTGGATGTGTAGAAATATTGGCAAAGGATAAGCTCTGCAAGAGCAAAAGACCAGAAGTCAGGAAGACTAGAATGTGAATGGCAAATGATTCTATTTGTCTGGAGAATAGCATATATCTAAAGAGCTGTCATTACATTTGAAATGTAAGATGGAGTCAAATTTTTAAAAGATCTTGGATATCAGACTAAGAAGCTTGAACTTTATATATGAAAAAATGAAGGGTTTTTTTTTTAATTTTCCAGTGTTATGATAGTTGTGTTTCCAGAATATTGGTCAAAGTGAAGTGCATTAACTGGTGGGAGCAGAGAGATTCTGGAGGCCAGAGAGACAACAGAGGTGGCTTTTCCCTAGCCTGGGTTAGCAATAAATAGAATGTGGGCTTGGATAGTAATGATGAGAATAAAAATAAGGGAATGAATGCAACAAAAACTTAGAAAGCAGAACTAACATGTTGGGGTACGGGAGAAAAAGATGCCAGAGAAAACTCAGAAGTTTCAAGACTGATCATCTGGGGGGTTGGTTGAGGCATCAGTAGAGCTTCCCAAAGAGTGGAAGGCTTGGTTCACCTTTGGACTCAGAGCATTGATTTGGGATACAGGGGAGACATTCAGATGGATGTGTCCAGGAGACAGTTGGAAATATGGAAGTAAAACTCATAAAAGAGGCCAAGGCTGAAGCTATACATTTTGAAAATCTCCATCAAGGCAAGAGCAAAGGTGAAGTGTTAAATAAGATGGGAAGAAAGATATAGATAAAAGAGAGAAGGCAAACACCATATTTTTTCAGGATATCTGTATTTAGGAAGGAGTAGAAAAAGAGGTATAGCAAATAGATGGCCTGAGTAGGAGGAGGAAAATCAGGAGAGGATAGAGTCTTGTAAGCCAAAGGAAGAAAGTTTTGAGAATGAGTCAAGGGAAATGAAGATGCAGAGAAACTGTGCTTCCTAATAAAGAGATGTTTAGGCCAGGTGTGGTGGCTCATGCCTGTAATCCCAGTACTTTGGGAGGCAGAGGCAGAGGGATCACTTGAGGCCAGGAGTTCGAGACCAGCCTGGCCAACATGGAGAAATCGTGTCTCTACTAAAAATAAAAATATATTAGCCAGGCTTGGTGGTGCGCACCTGTAGTCCCAGCTGCTTGGGAGGCTGAGGCATGAGAATCGCTTGAACCTGGGAAGGCAGAGGTTGAAGTGAGCCGAGAACACGCCACTGCATTCCAGCCTGGGCGACACAGCAAGACTCTCTCTTAAAAAAAAAAAAAAAAGAGCAGTTTAGAGGTAACATCCTAGAAGGTGATTGTAGCAATGTGTTCAAGGTTTTAGGTAACAAGGAGTTGGGAAGTAAATGGGTGGACAGAAAATAGGGTTATTGGAAATAGAATACTTGAGACTTACTTCAATGGGATGAAAGGAGTGATATGGCAGAGGGATAGATGGATTGTTCTGGAATGAGGATCTTGATGATGAATTTAGAGGAGCCTTGAGGAGAGGTAACAAGGGCACATAGGAGGGGTGAGCCTTAGCTCAGTTAGTGAGAGGGAAACTTTCTCTGAGGTGGAAGGGAGGAAAAAACTTGAAGGTGAGTAAGGATGCAGAGAAAATATAAGGTGAAGTGGAGGAAAGCTAAAGAAGCTAATGTCATATGATTTCTTTTCTATGGCAGCAAAGCCAGATAAGAATGGATGTGTTGGGGAGACAGGGAAAGCAGGGGATGAGGAAATCAGGACTTAAGGGGAATAGACTTGGCATTATGGAAATTGGCATCAATATCCGTAAAAGTCCTGCTGGAAAGCAAAGGACCACACCCTGCTTTAATTTGTAGTAGAATCATTGTCTAGGCTTTGGAGCTTTATCTAGTCATGCTGGGCATATTATCTATGACTTTCCTGCAATTCTATTATTTTCTTTCTAATGAATTTTAAGCAAGTATACATTTACTATAAGAAATAACCATTGGCATTTTCTCGGCAAAATCTTCCTGAGTCTGTTCCAATCCAGTTTGCTGTCTTACCTATCCTTGTGCTTACTCTAGCTACACACCTGCAGGCCATACCTCTCAATTTCCTTCCTGCCAAGAATTTCATTAATGCACTGTTTAGACCTTGTTCTATTCAATCTTTCAAAAAATTCATTCATGAAAAGAGGAGTTTTCTTCTGTCCTATAGATAGCAAACAGGCTTTCCTATTATTTTAAAAGAACTTGCTGAAGAGTAAATTTTTGTTCATAAAGGATCTGTAATCTGGCAATGAAAGGTGAGAGCAGGGTGGGGTAGAGCAGGGAGATAGATGAATAGTCACAAATGAGGACATTCAATTTGATTGTGTCTTTTGTCTCAGTAAAGACTTTTTATCTAAATTAAGCTTCACTATATTTCTTCTCTGGCCCTTTGCTTTATACTCTCCTCAGTGAGGTCACCATTCTTGATGACCCTTCTATTATCCTGGTCTCTATTACACTGATTCCCTAAACCCCAATGACCTCCATCTCCATTGCATTTTACTCATTCACTATACTTCTGAAATTTTCACTTCTCAAAGACTCTAAGAACCCAAACTCTCAAATTCCCTCCTCTGGCTCTACAATTCCCTTTCCTACATTCTCACACATAATCAGCCTGAGCTTTACTCTCTTCATGACTACTTTCAAGCCTCTCGTCCTTTCCAATTCTTCTGCCTTGTCACCCAATTTTTTTTTTTTTTGACATAGTGTCACTCTATTGCCCGTGCTGGAGTGCAGTGGCACGATCTCGGCTCAATGCAACCTCCACCTCCCGGGTTCAAGCGATTCTCCTGCCTCAGCCTCCTGAGTAGCTGGGACTACAGGCACATGCCACCACACCCGGCTAATTTGTTTTTGTATTTTTAGTAGTGACGGGGTTTCACCATGTTAGCCAGGATGGTCTCGATCTCTGGACCTCTTGATCTGCCCTCCTTGGCATCTCAAAGTGCTGGGATTACAGGCGTGAGCCACTGCACCCAGCCCCCCAATTTTTAGTCAACAACTTTAATTCAGCATATCTTAGGTGCAAAACCCCCATATGTATAATGCTTTATCCCTTTTATCTCTGTGTTTTCTGGTTTTCCCACTTTCCCAGTGTGGGAAAACTGTACTACCAAAAGGCTCAACGCTTTGTCAGTTGGATTCACCACAATTTATGCTATCTAGTGTTAGGGAAGCCTTAACTGCTCTATAGAAGCCCTTTTATTTTCTGCTCAAATGAGAGGTTCTAAAGCACCCTCACAAATCTTCAATCCTACCCTGTTTCCCCTTACTTCAAGTTTCAATTATACCTTGAAACTAAAGGTCAATCCCTTCAAACACAGCATCCCAATTTCCCTTCTCTCTACTTCAAACCCTCTTTATGTCTCAACTTCTCTTTTTTCCTGTTTCTGAGAAAAAAAAGAACTCTTCGAGCTGCCATTCTTACCCTCCTCCAATACATTATAGCAAAAGAGAATCTGCCTAAAGGACAACACTAATCCCTTGCTCAAAAAGTTTAAATGGTTCTTCACTGACTTTGCGGTAGAGTCTAAACACATTAGCCTGCCATTCAAGGCCCTCTTCAAGATGGCCAAAAATCACTATCTCAGAATAGTCACCTATTATTCCCCTATATAACATGCTCTAAGTTGCCATCAAACTGAACTAGTTGTTTTTCCCCAAAAGTGCCTTGCATTCCATGCCTCCATGACTGGTAGAGTCAAGATATGGCCTTCCATGTATATACTCTGAGTTTAAATCCTAACTCTGCCACTTCCAAGATGGGAGACTTTAGTCAGAGATACAGAAACAGTGCTTCAGTTTCTTTCCTATCTAGTTGTGAGAATTAAATAAAATGATTGTTGCAGCACTTGAAAAACTGCATAATGCTACTAAGATGTTCTAAAGTGTTCTTTCATTCAACAAATATTCACTTAGCACCCACTACTTGCCAGACACAAGTACTGCTGCTGTTCACTTTTCAAATGAATGTTATAGATATACTTGAGGAGACAGACCCAATCTCATCCACTGATCAATGTAAACTAAAACAACTAGGAGAATCAAGACATAAAGTAAATCCATATAAGCTTGAGGTTTGGCAAACAACGTTTTGAAAAAATATTATTTGCAGATAGCTTGATGGTTTCAGCTCAGAACCATTCTTCTTTAGATTAGACATATTTGTTGCTGCTTTTCTGGACATCAAAATCAATTCAGATCAATAACTTAAATAAAGGAATTCTGGAAGCTTATTCGAAATAAGAGTAAAATCTTTCATTCCTCTGGATGTGAATCTCTGATTGAAAAAAAATGCATTGCTTTAAGTAAGCCCATGTCTTGAATTTCTTCAATCCATGCCAGATGGGACATTCAGGAGCAGATTGTACAAGCAAGCTTGCAAGGGAACATGGCCTTGTAAATATAGTTTCTCTTGATAATGGCTGTGACTCTACTTGGTATAAAAGAAGACCTTACTGATAAGAGGTTTCTTCTCTATAGTCACCAATACAAAAAGCACACACAAAAAACTACATTTTCTCCAGTATTGACAGACTTCTGTTAGTGCCAATAAAACGATTGTTGATTCCCAGAGAGTTGGGGTTAGGGGAGGCAGGTGGACAAAAAGCTAACCAGTGAACAAGCTGTTTCTCTTTCTCTGTCCCCACCCCTCTTTTTCTAAAAGTCCAAAATAGAAATTTCAAAGCTTAAAAAAATTCAAGGCAATTTAATTTAAGTTGCTTCCCATGACTTTAAACACTGAATGTTCACACCTACGTCAGTACTACATTGAGAACCTCCCACTCAGAGACTGTATTTAGGAAAGAAAGGATGCTGTGGTCTCAGCTGAGGCCTAGATTTGAGGGCCTGGATGAATTCTTCAGCAAGACTCTGGAGTTCAGCAGATTTAATTCTTACTCCTCTGTGGAGAGTCAGGTCAATGTTTTCAGGAGGTTTCCCTTCAGGAATAATTATAGGAGATAAAAATATTCACTCTAAGGTAAACACAGTAAAATCCCTGTATAACCTACTTTATTATTCATATATATGCTGCTTCATGCAATAGGTTTGGTCCTAAGAATCTGTATACAAATTGAGTTTTATCCCTCAGGACTTTCCTAATGTAATCCTGAAGAACAGAGATTGTTATCTCTCCACACACTTAGGCATTGACAGCAATCCATGCCCCATTTTCTTTAATGGTGTTTGCACTCTTATTAGTTTTCAATATGTAGTACAGATTTACTAATCAATCCTTTTCTGGGAAAATAAAATCTGGTTTTAGTGTTTAAGCCATAATATGGCCAAATTGTATATCTGACAGGTTATTTCATACCCACCATTTTCATGTTTTTTTTTAAGCTTAAGCCAAGCCAGGTGAGTAGGCGTCATCCCAGATAAAATCTTGCTGACTTTTTTTCCCCCAAAGAAAAGCTAGTGAACAGGAGGTGATAAATGCTATGCTTCCTACTCAGACTCTGTCACATAAGATGTCAGTTCTTTATTTTAATTATATTCTTTGCCAGCTCAAAGAGGCAAGTAATTTTGCTGCATATTATCTTACCTTTGTTAGAGTTCGTCACAAGCAGCAGTTGAAGGCCTTTCATTTGTTGTGCCAGAGCTGGTCTTAATATCCAATTCCAAGCCAATCTCTTGGCATCCTGGAGAAAGAAACAAATTATTCATTGTCAAAAAAAGCAGACCAGACAATTACTGAAATGCAAGCCAGGCATAAAAAGTGAAACACCTTTATGAAACAATATAGCAATTAGAAAGAGAATTTTTAATATTTACTCCACTCAAGTGGTGGCATTGACCAAAGGCGTTAACACAATACAAACATCATCAGGAAGTTTCTGGAAACAAACAAGAAACTAAGAGCTTGTATTTTATTTGGGTGTCCAAGAGTCGGGCCCTGACATGAGGACTCTATTGCCAGTTGTGTATTTGGGAGGCACAGAGACCACTGATAGGGTAGTGAGAAAGGAATATGGGAAGGGGAGGGCAACATGTTCAAGGAGAGGGTCATTATGAGACCAATCACCACCGTGACAACTGGAGCTTAATCCTGAGAGAAAGCTCTAGGAAATGGTGTAAAATAAATGCCTCAGAATCATCCCACCCAAGGGGCAAGGGAGCTGGGGCATTTATACCCCAATTTCTGGTAGTCATTGGTTGAGGACTACTGAGGTGGAGGGACAGTGATTATTTCACTAGCATTTCCTGTCTGCATTTCCAGTTTCAGAAAAAGCCCTCAGGCCCAGAGATGCAGACACTGGCAGCTGGAGGTGAGTTGGAGCATGTGGGTGAGTCAGGGCCAAGGGAGCAAGGGAGACAACAGCACACTGACAGCGTCTAATACAGCTCCTCTTTGTACTGAATCATAGGATCCTCAGACAGAGAATGTCCTACTGGTCCCTGGTCACAGGACTTTTAGATAGGGTCACTAAGAATATAGGAGGCTAAGTTCAAACCCTAACTCCAGAAATACATGACAGAGAGACAACAAAGTCAATGTGTCTAGAAGGAAACAGTGATCCACTTGCCCACTCCCTTCTTCCTTCTTACTTGTATCTCCCACTTGTCATTTACTCAGGTGAAACACCTTTGCCCTCTATGTGAAGAGTGGAGGTGGTAAGACCCTGTTGAATTTGTCTGTGGAGGACTGAGGAACAGACATCTGCTCTTGGAAGAAAACCAATGTCTTTTTCATGATTACATGTAGGCTGTAGGCATAGTAAATAATAATAGATGCTCACATTTATCAAAGCTTTCTTTATATGAGGTACCATTTTATGTAATTTTCATGGATTATTCAATTAAACCTTACAACAATATTATGAGGTAGGTACTATTATTATCCCTTTTTTCCAGATAAGGAACCAAAGACACAGAAAGATTAAGTAGCCTGACCCAGACTACAAAATTAGAGACGATCTCCAGAAACCAAGATCTTAACTACCATGCTAAAGATGGAGAGAGGGAATAGTTGATGGGAATCAAGATAAAATGTTCACAAAAGAAATTAACGTGAGAAATGCTTTAAGGAAGATGAAAAAGGGCCTTTAAACAGTGAATTGGACCTGAACATTCCATATCCTTTGAACAAACTAAAGAGAACAGCAACAACAAAACCCAAGAGTAGAAAAAGAGAACTCATAATTATCTAACCCCTTTTCCTGCCACCATAGGGAAGGATAAGTTAGGAAGAAAAGCCACCAGGCCAATGGAATCTAAATAAGTACTATATATGAGCTAATGCTGGTCCAAATTTCATTATTGCTACTGCAAAAATAATAAACTGCATTTAAATAACACGGCACCATAAATATGAGAACAGTTAGCAATATTTTATTACAGTCGCTTTTTATATTAATTTGAAAATTCAAATGAGATGTCTACAGAAATCAAAAGCAAGATGAAATAAAGCTAGCAAAGATGTTTTTTTATGAGCAGAACCCTTGAGGATAATAAGGTGGTATCTTGCTGTATTAATCTATTCTCATGCTGCTAATAAAGACATACCCAAGAATGGGTAATTTGTAAAGGAAAGAGGTTTAAGTTATGGCTGGGGAGGCCTCAGGAAACTTACAATCATGGCAGAAGGGGAAGCAAACATGTCCTTCTTCACAAAGTATCATGAGAGAGAAGTGCAAGTGCAAAGCGAAGAGGGGGGAAAGCCGCTTATAAAACTATCAGATCTCATGAGAACTCACTCACTATCATGAGAACAGCATGGAGGTAACCACCCCCATTATTCAATTACCTCCCACTTGGTCCCTCCCATGACACATGGGGATTATGGGAACTACAATCAAGTGGGAGAAATTGGCCAAAATGAAAGGGGCTGCAGACCCCATGCAAGTCCAAAATACAGCAGGGCAGTCAAATTTTAAAGCTCCAAAATGATCTCCTTTGAATCCATGTCTCATATCCAGGTCGTGCTGATGTAAGAGGTAAGCTCCCATGGTCTTGGGAAGCTCCACCCCTGCGGTTTTACAGGGTACAGTCCCCCTCTGGCTGCTGTCATGGGTTGGCATTGAGTGCCTTTTCCAGGCACACAGTGCAAGCTTTTCCAGGCACACAGTGCAAGCTTTCAGTGGATCTACCACTCTGGAGTCTGGAGGACAGTGGCCCTTTTCTCAAAGCTCCACTAGGCAGTGCCCCAGTGGGGACTCTGTGTGGGGGCTCCCACCCCACATTTCCCTTCCACACTGCCCTAACGGAAGTTCTTCATGAGGGCCCTGCCCCAGCAGCAAACTTCTGCCTGGACATCCAGGCATTTTTTTTTTTTTTTTTACATCCTCTGAAATCTAGGGAGAGGTTCCTAAACCTCAATTCTTGACTTCTGTACACCTGCACACCCAACACAATGTGTAAGCCACCAAGGTTTGGGGCTTACACCCTCTGAAGCAATGGCCTGAGCTGTACATTGGCGCCTTTTAGCCACGGCTGAGACACAGGGCACCAAGACTGCACAAAGAAGCAAGGCCCTGGGCCCAGCCAATGAAACCACTTTTTCCTCCTAGGCCTCCTGTCTTGTGATGGGAGGGGCTTCCTCTGACATGCCCTGGAGACATTTTCCCCATTGTCTTGGCAATTAACATTTGGCTTCTCGTTACATATGCAAATTTCTGCAGCCAGCTTGAACTTCTCCTCAGAAAATGTTTTTGTTTGTTTGTTTGTTTTTGTTTGTTTGTTTTTTAATTTTCTATTGCATCATCAGGCTGCAAATTTTCAGAACTTTTATGTTCTGCTTTCCTTCTAAATATAAGTTCCAATTCCAAACTATATCTTTGTGAATACATAAAACTGAATACTCTTAAAACACTCAAGACACACCTTGAATGCTTTGCTTCTTAGAAATTTCTTCTGCCAGATACTCTAAATCATTTCTCTCAAGTTCAAAGTTCCACATATCTCTAGGGCAGGGGCAGAATACTGCCAGCCTCTTTGCTAAAACATAGCAAGAGTCACCTTTATTCCAGTTCTCAACAAGTTCTTTATCTCCATCTGAGACCACCTCAGCCTAGACTTCGTTGTCCATATCACTGTCAGCTTTTTTATCAAAGCCATTTAAGTCTCTAGGAAGTTCCAAACTTCCCCACATCTTCCTTTCTTCTGAGGCCTCCAAGTCTCTAGGAAGTTCCAAACTTTCCCATATTTTCTGATCTTCTTCTGAGCCCTCCAAACAGTTCCAACCTCTGCCTGTTACCCAGTTCCAAAGTTGCTTCACATTTTCAGGTACCTTTACAGCAGCACCCCACTTCTCAGTACCAATTTACTGTATTAGTCCATTCTCACACTGCTGATGAAGACATACTTGAGACTGGGTAATTTATAAAGACAAGAAGTTTAATTGAATCACAGTTCAGCTGGCTGAGGACACCTCAGGAAACTTACAACCATGGCAAAAGGGGAAGCAAACACATCCTTCCTCACAAGGCAGCAGGAGAGAGAAGTATAGAGCAACGTGGGGGAGAAAGCCCCTTATAAAATCATCAGATCTCGTGAGATCTCACTCACTATCATGAGAACAGCATGGAGGTAATTGCTCCCATGATTCAATTACCTCCCACTGGGTCCCTCCCATGACACGTGGGGATTATGGAAACTACAATTCAAGATGAGATTTGGGTGGAGACACAGCCAAACCATATCACTTGCTTTTGAACAGAAAATAATTCTGGCTGGAAACTATTGACGGTTTCACATCTTCCACATAGCCAAACTATGTCTTTGAAATATGATGTGCTCTTAGCAACCAGGTACATAGCGCAGTTCTGAGGCGGTACTCAGTGTTTTTTCGTGTCTACCCCTTGCCTACGTATGAAATGGGGGCAAATGAGAGCAGCAGAAAAAGCCAGCTTGGAAAATAGTCATGGAAATTTTTTCTGAAACCAAAGATGTCAGAAAAGATGTCTGGAAAAGACAGAGGTAAAATTGCAGATAGCAATATTTTCTAATGGCCAATAGAGACATAGAGAAGAGACCTCATAATGGGCACAGTGCAGAAGGCACAGACAGCTGCAAATCCAGCTTTGTTTTGGGTTATCCATTGGTATAATGAAAGTAAAAATCTCAAAATAAACTCATTAGTTTTGGAAAAATTTTCTGGCTCTGTCCATTGAAGGGGTCTGAAGGCAGTGACATTCAGTGGCAGTGAACATACCTAATGCTCAGATTTAGTGTCTACATACCATTTCTCTCTTAGAGAAAACAAGGTTCTTTTGATAACTGGCTAATTACAAACATGAGGCAGAGAGATTATGGGAGTGAGCCTGAAATATTTCACTGAACCAGAAAGTTAAAAATCACTCAAAGAGTTTTAGAAGGACATAGAGGCCAGCTTGAAGGAATTCCTCTTGGACAAGTTTGAGACAATTTGAGCATCAAAAAGGCCATAAATTATTATAAGCCTGAATAAATAAAACTCTATGGGTCCAAGTGATGCTCAGGGAAAAGGGCAAGAGAGGGGGAAACAGGTATGCTCTTTTCTGCAGAAGGATGCCAGTTAATAAATATAGAAGGACTGAGAGAAACAAAAAAACACCTTTTTGCAACTATAATGCAATAATTATTTGATATAAGAATGTTAAAGCCACTAATTAAAGGGTTATTGGAAACAGGATGCTCAGGTGGTATCAACATATCACCCTTGGATTACTTAGTAATTGCAAAGGGAAAGGTTTTCATCTTTATTAGAGAAATTTGATGGACCCAGTGAAGCACACATCTATGAAATGAGTGTAAGAATAGTACCAACCTCAGAGAGTTGTTGTAAGGATTGAATAAATAATAAAACACATACCACTGGACCACAGAGCAGAATCGAAGCAGGTCAAATGGTTTATTTTTTTATTTTCCACAAAAACCATACCCAAATCACAAACTTGCATAATCAGATGACCAATATAAAGAAGTAGCAAAGCCAACAGTGTGAAATCCAGAAGCAGAGAGTGCCCCAATATCAAAAGAGAACTTACATAGACAGTTTACTTCAAGCTTTTCCAGGATGGAGTTTCTTCTAAGCTCTCTAGCAGAGAGATGCATGCTTCTCACCCACCTACCCTTCCACATCAAAGAGAATGGAAGGAGTAAAGTGATTCAAAGAGAAAAAGAGATAGCTGGGTCTTTCCCCCAAATGGCAGCAGCCATAGTTTCCCATGACCACTACTGTTTTAAGAAAGAAAATGCTTTTGAAGAGCTGAAGTGAAGCTGCAAAGAGAAAACGATTGGTTGAGATTTCTCTTAAAGGGGGGAAATGCAGACCCAATCCACTTTTGCTAAAAATACCTGGAAGATTATTCAAAAATATGAGGGATATATTACTCCAATGCAAGCTAACTTATTTCCCTTCTACTAAGGCTTCCCTCCCTCGATAATGTGTCAAGATGAGAAAATGTGCCTCTTGAAGCTGATTAATCCTCAACACACTTCTTCTTCACCTTGGGAGTAGGGTGAGGTGGTAGTGATGGCACCAACAGGAGTGTGCTGTGAGCATCTCTTTGCTAAAGCTTAGATTAGCAAGTTGGATATAGTGTAATCTTGTCCCAGTGATTTCCTATTACCAATACTAGAGATTTCTCTAGTAACATGGGCCAGTTCTGCCTACTTCACAGCAAGTACTATAGAATTAATGCCCCTGAAAACCTCAATTCAAGACAAACAGAACTATGAGTATTTATTCCTTAGATCTCTAACCCCTCAGGTGGTGTCTTAGCCTGTTTTATGTTGCTATAAAAGAATACATGAGACTGGATAATTTATAAGGAAAAGAGGTTTTTTAGCTCACAGTCCTGCAACTTCAGAAGTTCAAGGTCATGGCCCTGGTTTCTGGCAAGGGTTTTCATGTTGTGTCATGATATGGCAGAGAAGGTCAAAGGGGAAGTGAATACATGCAAAAGGGGAAACCCTCAGGGACTTCCTGGATTTATAACAATTTACTCTCATGAGAACTAATCCATTCCCATGAAAACCAATCCAGTCTTGCTAGAGCAGGAACTCAGTCACTACCGTGAGAATAGCACCAAGCCATTCATGAGGTATCCGCCCTCATAACCCAAACACCTTCCACTAGGCCCCACCACCCAACACCACTACATTGGCAATAAAATTGTGAGTTTGGATGAGTACAAACCATATCCAAACCATAGCAGGTGAAATAACTTTAAGATGTGCATTCTATACTGGCTTCCAGACTTCTCCAATGAGATGAAGTACTAGTTTCTCACAGTGGTAGCTTGCTTGATAAAACACCCTTTATTCCTGTGTTAGTTTGCTGGGAATTAAGTGTGTTTTTATCAAGCAAGATACCTGAACATAGGGAGGGGAGCATCACATACCAGGGACTGTTGGGGGGTGGGGGGCAAGGGGAGGGAGAGCATTAGGACAAATACCTAATGCATGTGGGGCTTAAAACCTAGATGACAGGTTGATAGATGCAGCAAACCACCATGGCACATGTATATCTATGTAACAAATCTGCACGTTTTGCACATGTATCCCAGAACTTAAAGTGAAAATTAAAAAATAAATTTAAAAAAAACACACTTTACTGACTGCCTTTCCTTCCCTGTCTTACCTCCCCACTTCTCCATTGGAATCTTCTGGGATCACCTCCCTAATAAACTATTTGTGCCAGAATCCTTGTCCTTATGGAGGAACACAAGTTTAGATGTCTGACTAAACCAAAATTACAGCTTCTAGAGTCACAGATAAACTGCATAACCAAAAGCCACATTTGAAATGTGCATCTATACTCCTAAGAGAGAATGTAGAACCCTGCAAGAAGTCTCTAGGTACCTCTTGTTGCTATATATGCTTACCTGAGTGATTAAGGGTGGTTTATAATCCATCTTGAGCAATGTTAGTATCCTTATGTGGGATATTACTCAAAACATTTACTAGTTGCAACAGCATGAGCCCTGGAGTAGGGTCCTGAAAGATGTCAAGAGTGGTGGGACCAGGGCATTTGTGGAGAGAACAATAGCTGGTCTCTGGATTAAGGTCATTTATTAAACAGTAGGGTAATATTTCACCATTTTAACAATCAACACAGTGCTACCAATCTACAGTGATTGAACATCAGTCCTATCCTTAGGTACTGAAGTGATTTTTATGATAGTTCAATAAGTGGGAGATTCCCAAGGATTAAAAAAAATCTTTATTACCAGCACCTCAAGAATAACTGCAAATGATAGTGTAGTACAATCCCTAGTGTAGAATGTGGTCTGAGAATTAAGTGCTTTGGCGTAATAGTCAATTCCTGGGTTGTCAATTTTAAAAGAATTATGCTGCAACAAAATAAACTGAGTACTAAAGCCAAAAATAACATATTTTGAATTTTCTCTTCACGATGACCTCTTTACGATGACCTCGGAGTCATTATTACAAATATCAATTTTCATTGTTTTGTAGATATGTTAGAAAAAACAATTGTAGAACAAAGTATTCCATACTGTACAAACCAGTTCTTATAGTATAGTTATAATAAAACAGCTGTATAACTTAGAAAGTCACTTTTGAGTGTATTTACTTTCCCTAGAATAATTGCAATGATAGGCGATTTTTTTTCAAATAAGAAAGAGCTGTTTTAAACACATCTCTTGCAGAGTTACCAATAAATGTATAAGTTCAGTAAAGATGCTGTTTCTGTAATCTCTATTGGAGGTTACAGAATAATAGTAAGGAAATGTCAGAATATAAGATATAGGAAAAGCCTGATCCAGACTATATGAGGAATCAATTTATTAATGCTTGGTCTAGAGGGAAGCCTCAAAAAGCATACCTATAGATTCAGGTAACAATTGGGTCCTAAATAATCCTTTTATACTAAATCAGTTCTCACAAAAAATAAAATTGAAAGGTAAAGATTGTTTTTCAATACTTCCCTTTAAAACTGCATGTGATGGGCATTCAGGACAAAAGTACAATAAACATCAAATAATTGTACTCTAATAATTATGTAACTATATGAATATTCTGGGAGACAACACGATTTTTGAATTACATTGGAGATTTGTCATCAAAAGCTGGCTCTACTTCCAGAAAAGATGGTAACATGAGCCTAAGTGTCTAATCCTTCTTATTATTTGTTTCCTGTGTTTTATCTCTTTTGTTTTTTCTCTCCTTCTGTCCTTCTCTTGAATTGAGCATTTTTATTGTTTTCTTTCTTCTATTGCTTTTTAGCAGTGTGTTTTCTTCTACTCGTCAGGGTTTACCCTTAAAATTACAAAATATATCCTTGACTTACAAAAGTCAAATCAAAAGTGGTAACACTTCCCAGCAAATAAAAACACCATGGAAATCATTTATTCCATTTACTTCTTTTCCAATTTTGTGTTACTGTTACATAGTTTAATTCTAATTATATTTTAAATCATATGAAAAATTATACTTTCATGGACTTTGGTTTTCAGCAGTTTTAGTACTAAATGCCTCAGTATAGTTTTTTTTTTATTTTCTTCCTGCTTTGGACTTGCATCATTTCTTGAATCTATAACATGAAGTCTTTTATCAGTTTTCAAAAACTGCCTCTTCAAACATTACTTCAGCTCTATGCTCTCTCTCCTTTTGTAACTTCAATCATATGTGGGTTAGACTTTATCATTGTGTTTCATGTGTCTCTTATGCCCTTGTCTGTATTGTCCATCCTTCTGTTCTCCATTTTAAGTCTAGATATTTTCTTCTGATCTACCTTCCATTTTATTATTGTCTTTTAAGCTATGCCTAATGTGCTATTAAATCCATCTATTGAGTTCTTAATTTCAGATATTTCATATTTCACTTCTTAAATTTCCATTTGATAATACTTTATATTTTCCAGTTCCTTGCTGATATTCATCTTGTCACTTAAATTATTGAAAATACTAATCACAGCTATTTTAAAGCCCATGCCTGGTAACTACATTTTCCAGTTTTACTGTGTGTTTATTTTTATATTAGTTTTTGATCAATTCATGTTGCTATGTGCATGATTATCTTTCACTGAATGCTAGATGATGTATATGACATTTTTAGAGATAATTTGATGCTCTGGATGTTCTATTCCTCCACAGAGAATTTATTCTTGCTTCTGGCAGTCAGCTGGTCTAAAAGACCACTGTGATCCAATCAAAGACTCAGCTGATTCAAAGTTAAACTTCTGACTTTGTGAGAGCTGGTATAATCCTGGTTTGCCCTCACTCTTTGGGAGCCTTTTGGGGTCAGAAATGAAGGCCAAGAGTGTTTACCTGGGCTATCCCTCCATAGTATGTTCTAGGATCTATTTTGTTGTCATTCAAATTGTCACAAAATCTGTTTATCTTTCCTCTCTGGGCTTATTTTTTTTTTCTCTGAAATATTGGCTCTACATGTCCTCACTGTTTTGGTGACTCTCATGCCTTTAAAAAGATGTTTCTCATGTTTTATCCAGTTTTGCCAGTTCTTTTCTTCAGGATGTTGTTTTCACACAAGCTAGTCAATGTTTTTAGAAACAGAGCTCCTCCCAATTGGCTTTTAGTCTCCCATCTTGAAAACAGAAAGACAATAAAAGTTTACCCAATTCTGGAAATAATTGAATATAAAAGAGTGAGCGATCGAAGCCAACAAAGAGAAAATACGACCTGAAAAAAGCATACACTATGCAAATAAAGTAAAAGTTCAATAAGCTGTCATAATATTCTTAGGAAATAGGAGAAGATATTGCACCCATTAAATAAGCAAAAAATAGAAAAATTTAAAAGTCCTTAAATTACAAAAGATCAACTTGCAGAATGAGAAGAATTTAAAAGGAAGTAAAACCATTTGCAAGAATTTTTCAAATCAAACTTCTTGGAAATCATAAGAAAGGAGAGTCATATGGTCTGGAAGCCATCTGGCTCAAAGAAGGTATTCACAATGTTTATTTAGTTCTGGAGGGAGAATCAAGATAAAGTTAAGCAATAGATTTTAGTGACTAAATATTAATAAAAAATATCAAAAGGTGATCAGATAGAAACTTATGCTAAATCAATCCTTTATTATAATAAATTATTAAATATTAACCACTTGCTGTTTGAATTTTAGAAGCTATATATATTATATAATACAGACAATGCACTAGGTTAGCCATTAGCTTTTATTTAGACAGAGAAGAATCAAGTTTAGGGAATAACTATAAACCAACTAGCGTAAAATTTGAATTAAATATATATTTATGTAGTATATTCTCATCATGAAGTCAAATTTCTGTCTAGTTATAATTATTTATAATATATAACATTATATATATATATATATATTTTTTTTTTTTTTTTTTTTTTGAGACGGAGTCTCGCTCTGTCGCCCAGGCTGGAGTGCAGTGGCGTGATCTCCACTCACTGCAAGCTCCACCCCCCGGGTTCATGCCATTCTCCTGCCTCAGCCTCCCAAATAGCTGAGACCACAGGCACCCGCCACTAGGCCCGGGGAATTTTTTTGTAGTTTTAGTAGAGACGGGGTTTCACCGTGTTCGCCAGGATGGTCTCGATCTCCTGACCTCATGATCCACCTGCCTCGGCCTCCCAAAGTGCTGGGATTACAGGTGTGAGCCACTGTGCCCGGCCTCAGAAACTATATTTTTTAAAAAGCACTAGTATATGTAATATATGATCTAATCTGACAATCTAGTTTAAAAGGTCATGAAAACCTGACCCTTTGAATTTTGCTATCCTAGCAGAGTTCTCCAGAGAAACAGAACCAATAGGATATATATGTGATAGATATAGATAGATAGATCTATATAAGTATGAACATATTGCAATTATCTACCTATCTAGGAAGATACTTATTATAAGATATTTGCTCACATGCAATCATGGGGGCTGAGAGGTCCCCTGATCTGCCATTTGCAAGCTGCAGATCCAAAAAAGACAGTGGTATAGCTCAAAAGCCTGAGAGCCAGAGTGCCAATGGTTTAGATTCCAGTATGAGTCTGAAGGCCTGAGAACGTGGAATACTCAGGGATGGAGATGACTGATGGTCCAGCTCATGCAACCAGCAGAGTTAATTCAACATTCCTCCGTTTTTTTGTTCTATTTGGACCCTCAGTGAACTGGATGATTCTCATCCACATTGGGGAGGGCCATCTGCTTTACTCACTCCACCAATTCAAATGCTAATCTTGTCCAGAAACACCCTCCCAGATACACCCAGAAATAGTGTTTATTCAACTCTGAACATATATGAAGCAGTTGAGTTGACACAAAATTAACCATCATACTGAGTATCACTTCTCATGTCTAATTCTCCAAATTTTGGTCATTTTGGTGTCTAAGAAAATATAACAGCAGTATAAATATTAACCTATAGAGTCCAAACCTGTAACATAAAAACAAATTCCAGAATCATTCTAATTATTTGTATTTAAAAGAACCTGTAGCATTCAGAAACAATGTAAGAAAACTATTATTTGAAACACCCCATTAATCTATAACATTATGAAACTACATGCCATAATATAATTAGTAAATGTACACTCTGAGGTCTTTACCAAACCCATGCTCAAGAATTGAATTATTTCAAATTTATGTGCCATATAGTATCATAATATGTTCCTTTTCTCACAAATGGAAAAGGGAAAATGAATTGTGTTATCATTTTCATCTACTGCCACCCTCGACAGCCTGTAATAAGCTTCGAGACTATCCTCTTTTATTACAGAACAATGACTCACCTAGAGTTACATAACACACAGTTACTAGGAATCCAAATCTCTCATTTTCTCTTTAATATCAGAAGTGCTTATCGCTTAAAGCTAAAAAAAAAAAAAAAAAAAAACAGTTTTAAAGAAATATTCCAGAAACAGCAAATGAAGTGGGAAAATTGCAGGCAACTGCCAGGGGATACTTACTATTATGCTTACCTATACTTCCCTGCATGCACTCTCTGGGTTGTACAAGTGCTGGACTTGCATTTGAAGACCCTGAGAGTGAGAACCTTCTTACTTGGTGCCCTAGGAGTCTTGCTCGCCTCACTCTAGTCCCTGCTCTGTATAGGACAGGGCCCAGAAAAAACAGCATTTAAAAGATATGCAAAGGAAGAGAGCCCCACAGGGGACACTGAAAACAAGTAGTCAGTAAGGAAGAAGAAAAAATGCAACAGCAGTGTTATGAAAGCCAATAAAAGAGGGCACATCCAGGGGAAAAAAAGACACAGTGATCATTGTCATTCAACTCTGAACAGGAATCATGTAAGATCATGCTCAGTGTTTATTGCTAGGAACTGCCAGTTGAAAGGAAACTTATATGTCTCAAATATACAAACAGTTGCTCAACTTCACTTAAAATGTTTTAAATGCAAGTTAAAACTTGAAGAAGACACTATCAATACACTATGTTGGAGAGGGCACTGGGAAACATTCTCTGAAATATTTCTTGTGGGAGTGTAAATTGGTAAAATTGCTATGGAGTCTAATGTAGCAACATTAACAAAAATTGCTTTGACCTAGCAATTCCACCTCTAAGTATTACCCAACCTATTCTTGACACATGTGTTTGAGGAAATATATTACAATATTGATTGTAAATATTAAAACAATCTAAGTGTTATAGAAGATGAGTTAAATAAATCATAATACTTCTATTTAATAAAATTAATACAATTCTATGCAGTTGTTCAAAGGAATGAGTGAGCTCTATATGTACTGATATGGAAAGACCTCTGTCATTATGTGAAAGCAATAAAGAATGGAATAGTGTTTTAGTATGCTCAACTTATGATTTTGTAAAAATTAAAAACCACTTATATTCATCTTTGCATAAAATAGGTCTAGAAAGAGACACAAAAAACTGGTGATAGCCATTGCTTCTTGAGATGGGAACTAAGCTGGAAAACACTAACGGGAGGGAGAAACTTTCTTTTCACTTCTACTCTTATATGTTTAAAGTATTGTTTTATATGTGTATGTACTACCTGTTCAAAAATGCAAAATAAAATATAAAGTGTTTTATTGTATTCAGCAGAAAGGAAGTTGCAAGTAACCTTAGTAATGGCTGTTTCAGGGGCATGGTGGGCAAAGCAACCATGTTGCAATGGGTTAAAGAGTAACACTGAAGTAAATGGACACATTCTAGTAAGAATAACTGTTAACGCCCCTTGGCCCTAAATGGAAGAAGAGTAATAGGACTGTAGTCACAGGTGAACCTGAGGTTATGCAACTGAGGGGCTAAAACTCCACATAGATACTGAAGTCACCCAACAGAGCAAAGTGCAGCGGATAACTTATGTAAATAGCCTCTAACATTTATGCCTTTCCAGCTAAATAAAAACTAACAGCATATCCAGTGCATGCAGGCTTCAAGCACCATGATCAATAGCTTCTTTACTGAAATCAGACAACCTGGCTTCTAAACTCTGCCATTCACTAGCTACGTTAGTTTAGGAAGCTATTTCATTTCTCTGTGCCTCATTTTCCTCATCTGCCCACTTCATATAGGTCTCGTAAACATTAAATGAGTTAATAGAAGTAAATCACTTAAAACATGTCTGGCACATACTAGATACTGCATGTATTAGTTTGCTAAGGCTGTCAAAACAAAATATCACAGACTGGGTAGCTTAAACAACAGAAATTTATTTTCTCAATTCAGACTAGAAGTCTGAATTCAAAGTGTCAGCAGGGCTGGTTACTTCTGAGGGTTCTCCCCTTAGCTTTTACATGACTGTCTTCTTCCTGTGTCTTCATATGGAATTCCCTCTGTATGTGTCTGTGTCCTAATATCCTCTTCTTATAAGGTTACCAGTTATATTGGATTAAGGCCCACCCTAATTGCCTCATTTAACCTTAATTACTGCGTTAAAGACCCTATCTCCAAATACAGTCACATTTTCAGGTACTGGGGGTTAGGACTTCAAACATGTTAACTTTGAGTGGACACAGCTCATTGCATAACACTGCATCTTTGTGGCTTACATACTGTCCAGGATAATGGCAGGTGTTTGGGTACAGAGGAAGTCAGTAACGCTTACATTAATATCTTCAATGGATTGCAGGGAAGGGAGGGGATTTGGTAGATGACAACAATGAGGAAGGGGAAAGAATGGTTTATTCTGTGGCAATTAAAATGAATATATATAAATATATATTATATGTTTAATAATATATATATATATATCAGAATTTATATATATGCACATTAACTTTGTTCAGCCTGTATTAAAATTATTCATGGCTCTAAGTCCTTAGCAGCTCTTAATGGGAAACGTTAAAGAAGCCGTTAACACAAGTAGTTTGTACAGACAATGCACTAGGTTAGCCATTAGCTTTTATTTAGACAGAGAAGAATCAAGGTTAGGGAATAACTATAAACCAACTAGCATAAAATTTGAGTTAAATGTATATTTATGCAATATATTCTCATCATGAAGTCAAATTTCTGTCTAGTTATAATTACTAAAACTGGCAGAAAGGCTCTGTATAACATTGAGAGATTTTTAAAAATAGTTCTAAGAACTATTGACTCATAACCTTGAGAATATCATTGTTGGTTTCAGAAACTACATTTGTTAAGATGTTTGGGTAGAAAGCCAATTTTTTTCACTTAAAATTGTGAATGGTTCATGGTGAATTATTGTGTATTCTGGATTCCGTATTTAACATTGATTAACCACTGGGGGTTTAATTTATTCATCGTCCTTGGAATAATTAACTCTCATTATAACTGTACTGATCTAGTATTAATTGCTTAACCACTATAAAAGATGATGTAGATCCTCTTACAACTAGGAACAGGTCTAAAGGGTTCTCACTGAAAAGTCATTTTCCACATAAAATAAGTGACCATACAGAATAACTAAAAACAGAGGGGAATTTCATTCTTCCATAATAAGCCAATGGCATGAACATCAATGGGAAGTGCTTCTCCAAAAATATGGAAGAACAATATCTTAAAAGCAGCATGGGAACTGAAGAGGTGTGGAAAAAAGAGTTGCTCCCACTTGAGAGGATTTTAGGTGAAGCTGAGTCTTTGGGGAAAGCCCTGGCTGTCAGTATCAACAAGAAGATGGAGGAAATCTCCAAGAAGAGGATTTGAATGTGGGAAAGTTGTACCCATAAAAGAGAGTTCTTGAAGGTTCATGGGAAAGTTTGTTTTTCTAGGAGTTTGGAATGGGAGTTAGAGGGCAAAGAATATTTTGGAGATGTGAGTGTGTCAAAAGACTCATGGCTTCATATATTGAGGGGTGACCAAGGGCCGTAAGAATATATTTTTAAAACCAAAATAGATCAAAATGATCCCAGTTTTAAGGAATTTTGCCTATTTGGGAAGAATAAAGCTAAAATGTTAAAACCGTTGAATTATGGAGAACAGATGTACTCTGAGACATAATTTAAAAAATATATATTTAAAATAAGGCAGGTTAACGTTTGCGTCTAGGCACAATAAATCTATATTAAAGGGAAGCACATCAAGGAAATGTATATGTTGAATAATGTAACTGAAAAATATTTTTTAAAAACTACTTAAAAAGAAAAATAATTTGATGGGCACTTTAAGCATTGTAGCTAGAAATTAATGTATAATAGTGTCTTCCTTAACTTTGTATGAAAAATTAAAACTCTCTAGTCCTTTAATGAGCATGAATTTATACTTCAAGATTTGTTGCTTAGTAAAATTATACTCAGTACTTTGAGTTATTCAGATTTATGTTTAATATTGTTAAATTCTTCATCCGGGAGCATAAATATATTGTCTTTTATACTTTGTAACTTGTGCATATCTAAAGAAACTAGCAGTGAACATTTTGGAAGATGTTTTTGTGTTTTTTTCTAGTAGAGTTTTAGAGTACATGTGTCTTAATAGGAAGTTTTTGGAGAAATAGGAACGCTTTTACACTGTTGGTGGGAGTGTAAATTAGTTCAACCATTGTGGAAGACAATATGGCGATTCCTCACGGATCTAGAACCAGAAATACCATTTGACCCAGCAATCCCATTACTGGCTATATACCCAAAGGATTATAAATAATTCTATTATAAAGACACATGCACCCATATATTTGTTGAAGCACTGTTCAATAAATATAGCAAAGACTTGGAACCAACCCATCAATGATAGACTGGATAAAGCCCATCAATGATAGACTGGATAAAGCAAATGTGGCACATATACACCACAGAATACTATGCAGCCATAGAAAAGGATGAGTTCATATCCTTTGCAGGGATATGGATGAAGGTGGAAACCATCATTCTCAGCAAACTAACATAGGAATACAAAACCAAACACCACATGTTCTCACTCATAAGTGGGAGCTGAACAATGAGAACACATGGACACAGGGAGGGGAACATCACACACCAGGGCCTGTCAGGGTTGGGGGGCTAGGGGAGGGATAGCATTAGGAGAAATACCTAATGTAGATGATGGGCTGATGGGTGCAGCAAACCACCATGGCACATATACACCTATGTAAAAAATCTGCATGTTCACATGTATTCCAGAACTTAAAGTATAATAAAAAATAAAAATAAAAAAATAACAGATGATGGAGAGGTTGCGGAAAAAAGGTAATGCTGAATGCAAATTAGTTCAGTCATTGTGGAAAGCACTTTGGCAATTTCTCAAAGAACCTAAAACAGTATTACCATTTGACCCAGCAATCCCATTACTGGGTATAGACCTAAAGTATTAGAAATAATTCTACCATAAAGACACCTGCATACGTATGTTCCTTGTAGCACTATTCACAATAGCAAAGACATGGAATCAACTTAAATGCCCATCAGTGGTAGACTGGATAAAGAAAATGTGGCATGTATACACCATGGAATACTACACAGTCATAAAAAAAGAATGAGATCATGTCCTTTGCAGCAATATGGATGGAGCTGGAGGCCATCATTCTAAGCGAACTAACATAGGAACAGAAAACCAAATACCACATATTCTCACTTATAAGTGAGAGCTAAACATTGAGAATACATGGATGCAAAGAAGGGAACAACAAACACTGGGGCCTACTTAAGGGTGGAGGTTGGAAGATGGGAGAAAATTGAAAAACTACCTATTGGGTACTATGCTTATTACCTGGGTGATGAGATAATCTGTACACCAAACCCCCATGACACATAACTTACCTATATAGCAAACCTGCACATATACCCCAGAACCTAAAATAAAAGTTAAAAAAAAAAAAAGGTATTTGGATTTAGGCCGGGCACAGTGGCTCACCCCTATAGTCCCAGCACTTTGGGAGGCCAAGGCGGGTGGATCACCTGAGGTTAGGAGTTGGAGACCAGCCTGGCCAACATGGTGAAACCCGTCTCTATAAAAATACAAGCATTATCTGGGCATGGTGGCAGGCGCCTGTAATCCCAGCTACTCGGGAGGCTGAGGCGTGAGAATTGTTTGAACCCAGGAGGCAGAGGTTGCAGTGAGCTGAGATCATGCCACTGTACTCTGGCCTGGGCAACAGAGTGAGACTGACTCTGTGTCAATTAAAAAAAAAAAAGTATGTGGATTTAGCAGTCTATAGTTCTACCAAGTTAATCATTCCACTGGTAAATGAAGCGGGCCTTCAGGCATCAGCCAAGACCCAGATGGATTGCACTTTCAAGACAGATCAAGTCAAAATGGAAGTTTCCAGCTTCTGTAGGAGTAAGTTGAGGTCTGCATTGGTTGTGAAGCTCCATGGGCGAGGATATAGGCCCCAGGCTATTGAAAACAGGCTCTTTTTTTTTCTTTTATTATTATACTTTAAGTTTTAGGGTATATGTGCACAATGTGCAGGTTAGTTACATATGTATACATGTGCCATGCTGGTGCGCTGCACCCACTAACTCGTCATCTAGCATTAGGTATATTTCTCAATGCTATCCCTCCCCCCTCCCCCCTCCCCCCACCCCACAACAGTCCCCAGAGTGTGATGTTCCCCTTCCTGTGTCCATGTGATCTCATTGTTCAATTCCCACCTATGAGTGAGAATATGCGGTGTTTGGTTTTTTGTTCTTGTGATAGTTTACTGAGAATGATGATTTCCAATTTCATCCATGTCCCTACAAAGGACATGAACTCATCATTTTTTATGGCTGCATAGTATCCCATGGTGTATATGTGCCACATTTTCTTAATCCAGTCTATCATTGTTGGACATTTGGGTTGGTTCCAAGTCTTTGCTATTGTGAATAGTGCCGCAGGCTCTTTGAGAGTAGTTAGAGGCCGGGTGGTTGAATCAGAGAACCTGGTCCCTAGAGCTATAGAATGTTTATTATCTAACTCGAGTCTTACGAAGTTTGAATACTTCTGGTGTGCCACATACAGATGTAGGACTTTATTTATCAATGCAAGGAGGAGGGTGTGATTAGTTGAAATATGAAAAGCAGGAGAGAGAATAAGTTTTGGAAATAATGATTGTTGATTTACAAGTATGTTGAGTTTGAGGGTTGCCTGGACCACTCAGGAGTAATTGAATAGCAGATAGTTGTCAATGTAACCTAGAGTGAAAGAAGGAAGGTAGAGAAGTTAAGAACCTTGTCAATGAAGAGAGCTTCCTCCTGTCCTGATCCATGGTGTATCTGGAATTTGAGGGACAGGCCATGTGTTGGCTTTCATATTTTTTCTTCTGCTCCCTACATTTGTATTTCTTTCTCCTTTCTTCAGTTTCAGTCTGATTTTCCACTTGATCTTTCACCTTATCCATTAAGCATACTGCAGTTTTAATTTCCTAAATAATTTCTTCCCAGGGATGGTTCTTCTGCAAGACACTGTACTCACCCCCTCCCCGCCCCCCCAACACACATTCTTCTTTCCTGTGACCTTTTCAAAATAAGAGGTGCGCTTGATGCCTACACTTTATTCTCCACTCGTCAGTTCCTTGCAATCTGGCTTTCATAAGGAAATTGTCCTTAATTCTCTTCTACAGCACCCTAACTTCCAAATGGAATTGTCAATGCCAAGTATTTATCCTACTGACCTCTTGGCAGTATTCAATATTGTTGACCACACTCTGCGTTGATGCGTTTTCCTAGCATTTGTCTGCTCTTATTTCCTCATTTTTCCCATCTCTTTTTCTCTAAACTTCACTGAGCCCAGTTCCCTGGTTTTACCTTAAAATTAGCTGTTCTGTAGGTTCTGTTGCCTGCTTCTTCAATCTGAAGCTGTGGGGAAGGGGACTACCAAAAGGACTCATGGAACTAAGGGACCCATTCAACCATTGTCACTATAAATGCCACTTGAAGGACTCACCACCACCACTACCAGCTGCTGCCACAACCATCAGCAGAAAGAAAAGCAAAAAGGTTTTTACCTGGGTTTTCATCGATATTTAAATGACTAATAAGATGTCACTAAAATAGAAAAGTCACAAAATGCTGCCTGCCACTTAACATTCTGCAACTCTCAGCTCCAAGTTCCCAAAGTGAGTTAAATGTGCCACTTGTGTTGCCCTGTATTATGACCTCTGTTACATTCCTTCAAGCCAACAGTGGCTCCTGACAGGGTGTTGAGTATTGACACCAATTAGTTATCATCAAACCTACCTTCCTTTGTCCTTCTTCTTAGGTGTTATCAGTGGTAGGAAGGAGGTAAAATGACAGAAGTCTGTAGGATTTAAACGTGAGGGCATTTAGGGTTTTGTGAATGTGAGAAGGTCATATTTTTACTGTTTAGAAGCTTTGCACAATTCTCTCTGAACTGGCAAGCTTAGTACAAGCTACCAAGTCTGAGATCCCTTATGTAATACTGCCTTTAACCCTCTTCTCCTCTCCCACTCTGCTTATTTTCTCCAGCCCCCTAACTTTTATCTCTACCCTTGATTGTAGTCATGGTCACTCTCTTACGTTCCATATCCATACTTGCCAGTGCTGGTTGGAAAACTCCACATGGGTGTCCTGCAGGCAATTTGACCTCATCTAGGACAACGTATTTCCTGCCCTTCATGCCTCTTCCCTAATAAAAACTCAACTATGATATTTGCTTTGGCAAATGGCAAGCCATCCTCAACTCCTCTGTATCTCTCACCAACTTCACTATGTATTTCCATTGATATTGACTCTGTGATGTTTTTCCCATCTGTCAACTCCCTCACACCCACTTCCACTGCCCTAGTTTCATGCTTCACCACTTCTTGCCTGGACTTGCAATAGCCTCCAGATACTCCCCTCTCCAATCTGTCTTTTACACTTTTTCTCAGAAATGTGTTCCTTAAAAAATAAATGTATTCAGTGCCTGATTAAAAATCTCTAGTGAAGACCTGTCACATACAGGATAAAGTCCAAACTCATTAACCTGGCTTGCAGGGTTCATCACTAATGAACCAATGGCCAAAAAATAAACTTTCCCTAAAGATTTTCTTAATTGGGGTAAAATTTACATACAGTGAAATATTAATTGTATTAAGGAACAATTTTATTAGTTTTGACAAATGTGTACACTCATGCAACCAATATCTCAGTCAAAATACAGAACATTTCCATCACTTTAGAAAATTTCCTCATGCCCTCTTGAATCAATTCCCACATTCTCATAGACAATCACTGTTCTAATTTTTATTATTGATTATGTTTGTCTGTTCTTGACATAAAGTATGCACTCTCCTTTTTCACTCAACATAATGATTTTGAGATCATTCATGTTGCTTCATGTATCCCTAGCTCACTATTTGTTTGTTGCTGAGGAATATTTCACTGTATGATGATACTACCAATTTGAGTTGTTTCCAGTTTGAGGCTATGATGAATAAAGTAGCTATGAAGTTTCTTGAACAAGTGGTTTTTTGGAGCAATGCTTTCATTTCTCTCAAATAAATATATAGGAGTAGGATTGCTGAGTCACATAGTAAATGTATAATTAGCTGTATAAAAGATTGTTAAGCAGTTTTCCAAGGTGACTTTATTATTTTTCATTCCCACCAGTAATATATGAGTTGCCCCATATCCTTAACAAAATTTGGCGCTGTCAGTCATTTTAACTTAACCATTCTTGTGGTTGAATAATGGTTTTAAAAGCTCAGTGTGGTTTTAACTTCCATTTCCTTGATAACTAATAAATTTGAACACTTTTCTATGTGTTATTGGGCATTTGTGTATCTTCCATTTTTAAGTGTCTGTTCTGGTATTTTCACCATTTATATTGGACTGACTGCCTTTATATATGCTTTATATATGCATTAAAAGCATTCTTTAAATATCTTTACTACAAGTCTTTTGTCAGATCTCTGTATTGTGAAACTTTTCTTTTCTTTTCTTTTCTTTCTTTTTTTTTTTTTTTTGAGACAGAGTTTCGCTCTTGTTGCCCAGGCAGGTGTGCAATTGCACAATCTGGGCTCACTGCAATCTCTACCTCCTGGGTTCAAGCAATTCTCCTGCCTCAGCCTCCCAAGTAGCTGGGATTACAGGCATGTACCACAACGCCCAGCTAATTTTGTACTTTTAGTAGAGACACGGTTTCTCTCTGTTGGTCAGGCTGGACTCGAACTCCCGATCTCAGGTGATCCGCCTGCCTCGGCCTCTCAAAGTGCTGGGATTACAGGCATGAGCCACCGTGCCCAGTTTGTATTGTGAAAATTTTCTACCAGACTATGGCTTGCCTTCACATTTTCTTAACTGTCTAATAAGCAGAAATTTTAAATTTTGATGAAATCTAAATTATCAATTGTTTTCTTTTACATTTATTGATTTCTATGCCCTAAGAAATCTTTTCATTCCCCCAGATAGCAAAAATATTCTCTAGTAACTTTCTTCTGGAAGCTTTATAATTTTACCTTTTGCATTCATGTCTATAGTGCAACTTGAGTTGGTGTTTGTGTATGGGGCCAATGTTCATTATTTTCTGTACGGATATCCAGTTTGTCAAGAATCATACACTGAGGTTAGTTTTCCCATTGAGTTGCTTTAGTGTATATATTAAAAATCAATGGACTTATAAGTGTAGTTCTATTTCTGCATTCTTTATTTTCTTCCATTCGTTGTCTACCTTTTTGCCAATATGACACCACTTTGACTAATATTGCTTTATAGTAAGCCTTGAAGTTAGGAGGTGCAAGGGCCCAGCCTTTGTGTCTTTTTCAGGATTGTTTGACTATTCATAGTTCTCTGCATTTCCATATAAATTTTAGAATCAGCTTTTCAAATTCTATTTTTAAAAGCCTGCTAGTATTCAGATTGGAGTAGTATCAGATTTATAGATCAAATTGGACAAAAATGACATCTTAACAATTTCAAGTTTTACAATCCATTTAACACGGTATATTGTTCCATTTATTTAGGCCTTTTATAATTTTTTCCAGCAATATTTTGTTTTCAGTGTAGTGGTTTAGCTAGTATTTGTGAAATGTACTAATAAGTATTTATGTTTTTTGACACTATTACAATTGGAATCCCTAAATTTTATTATTCAATGACTTGCTGCAAGTATCTAGAAATAAAATTGGATTTTAATATTGACCCTGTATCCTGTGCCTTTGATATATTCACTAATTAGTCCTAGCAGTTGTTTTTAGATGACAAGATTTTGAATGTAAAAATCATATTGTCTACAAATACAATAGTTTTACTTCTCCCTTCCAATTTGTATGCTGTTTTTTTTTCTTGCCTTATCACACTGGGCAGGACCTCCATCGAATACATTGGTTAGTAGAAATGGTGACAGATAATATCTTTAGTTTGCTCCCAAACTTAAGGGAACATGCTCAATATTTTACCATTAGCTAGGATGTTAGCTGTAGTTTTTTTTGCAGATATCCTTAATCAGATTGACAAAGGTCCCTTTAGTCCTAGGTTTTTGATAAATAGATGTACAATTTTGGTCAAATACTGTTTTTCATCAATAATATTGAGATAATATTATCTTTTTTGTCTTATTCTGTTAATGGTTAATTACGTTGATTTTTATAAATTAAACCAATCTTATATTCTTGAGATAAATCCCACTTAATCATGACATACTGTCCTTTTTATATATTGCTATATATTGTTAGGTTCAATTCACTTTTGTTTAGTTAAGGACTTTTGCATCTAGGTTCATAAAATATATTAGTCTGTAAGTTTCTTTTCTTCAAACATATTGTGAAATTTTGTTATTAGTTTTTTTGCTGGCCTTGGTTTTAAGTTGAGAGGTATTCTTTCCACTTCTACTTTCTGAAACAGTTTACAAACAATTGGCATTATTTCCTCCTTAAATGTTTGATGGAATCCACAGGTAAGCCATAGGGGTCTGAAGTTTTTGTGTGAATAATTTTTATCAGGAATTTCATTTTTAAATTAAAAAATTCATGGATACATATTTATGGTACATATTTATGGGGTACATGCTATACACCTACTCTGTGCCCACAGATTTTTAAAATAATTTTAAACCATTTAAAAAACAAACATGTAATGTGTAATGATCAAATCTTGGTAATAGGGATATCCATCAAACATTTACCTCAAACATTTATCATTTCCTTGTGTTGGGAATATTCTAAATCTAGTCTTCTAGTTATTTTGAAATATACAATACATTATTTTAACTATAGTCACCCTATTGTGCTACCAAACACTTGATCATACTTTTCCTTTCTAACTGTATGTTTGTACCCATCAACTAAACCCTCTTTATCCTTCACCTCTGGTGACGACCATTCTATTCACTGCTTCCATGAGATCCACTTTTTTAGCTCCCACATGTGAGTGAGAACATGTGATACTTGTCTTTCTGTGCCTGGTTTATTTCACTTAACATAATGTCCTCCAGATCTATTCATGTTTTTACAAATGGCAGGATTTCATTCTATTTTTGTGGTGGAATAATATTCCATTGTGTATATATACCACATTTTCTTTTTTCTTTTTTTGGGGGGGCGGGTACGGAGTTTTGCTCTGTCGCCCAGGCTGGAGTGCAATGGCGCAATCACGGCTCACTGCAAGCTCCGCCTCCCGGGTTCACGCCATTCTGCTGCCTCAGCCTCCTGAGTAGCTGGGACTACAGGCGCCCGCCGCCACGCCCGGCTACTTTTTCTGTATTTTTAGTAGAGACGCGGTTTCACCGTGTTAGACAGGTTGGTCTCTATCTCCTGACCTTGTGATCCGCCCGCCTCGGCCTCCCAAAGTGCTGGGATTACAGGTATAAGCCACCGCGCCGGGCCCGTAACACGTTTTCTTTATCCTCTCATCCACTGATGGGAACTTCGATTGATTCCATTGCTTAGCCATCATGAATAGTGCACATTAAAAATAGGAGTTCAGATATCTCCTCAATAAGCTGATTTCCTTTCTTTTGGATATATTCCCAGCAGTGGAATTGATGGATCATGTGGTAGTTCAATTTTTAGTTTTTTTAATTGATACATAATATTTGTACATATTTATGGGGTACATGTGACATTTTGTTTTATGCATAAACTGTGTAATGATCAAGTCAGGGTATTTGGACATCCATCATCTCGAGTATTTATCAATACTACGCATTGGGAACATTTCAAGTTGCCTTTCTTCTGAAACCCACATACTGTGTTTCATAGTGCTTGTACTAATTTGCATTCCCATCAACAGTGTATGAGTGTTCCTCTTTCTCTGCATCCCCACCAGCATTTGTTATTTTGTGTCTTTTTTCAAATAGCCATTTTAAATGGGGTGAGATGATGTTTCATTGTGGTTTTGATTTGCATTTCCCTGATGATTAGTGATGTTGAACATTTTTTTAATATAGTCGTTGGCCATTAGTGTGTTGGGAGAAATGTCTATTCAGATCTTTTGCCCATTTTTTGCTTTTTTTTTTTAATTTATTTTAAGTTTAGGAGTACATGTGCAGGTTTGTTACATAGGTAAACCTGTGTCTTGGGGGATTGTTGTACAGATTATTTCATCACCCAGATATTAAGCCTACTACTCATTAGTTATTTTTCTTTTTTTAATTATACTTTAAATTCTAGGGTACATGTGCACAACGTGGAGGTTTGTTACATATGTATACATGTGCCAGGTTGGTGTGCCGCACCCATTAACTCGTCATTTACATTAGGTGTTCCTCCTAATGCTATCCCGCCCCCCTTCCCCTACCCCATGACCGGCCCCGGTGTGTGATGTTCCCCACCCTGTGTCCAAGTGTTCCCATTGTTCAATTCACACCAATGAGTGAGAACATGCGGTGTTTGGTTTTCTGTCCTTACGATAGTTTGCTTAGAATGATGGTCTCCAGCTTCATCCATGTCCCTACAAAGGACATGAACTCATTCTTTTTTTATGGCTGCATAGTATTCCATGGTGTATATGTGCCACATTTTCTTTTTTTTTTTTTTTAATTATTCTACTTTAAGTTCTAGGGTACATGTGCACAATGTGCAGGTTTGTTACATATGTATACATGTGCCATGTTGGTGTGCTGCACCCATTAACTCGTCATTTACATTAGGCATATCTCCTAATGCTATCCCTCCCCCCTCCCCCCACCCCACGACAAGCCCCAGTGTGTGATGTTCCCCCTCCTGTGTCCAAGTGTTCTCATTGTTCAATTCCCACCTATGAGTGAGAACATGCAGTGTTTGCTTTTTTGTCCTCGCGATAGTTTGCTGAGAATGATGATTTCCAGCTTTATCCACGTCCCTACAAAGAACATGAACTCATCCTTTTTTATGGCTGCATAGTATTCCATGGTGTATATGTGCCACATTTTCTTAATCCAGTCTATCACTGATGGACATTTGGGTTGCTTCCAAGTCTTTGCTATTGTGAATAGTGCCGCACTAAACATATGTGTGCGTGTGTCTTTATAGCAGCATGATTTATAATCCTTTGGGTATATACCCAGTAATGGGATGGCTGGGTCAAATGGTATTTCTAGTTCTGGATCCTTGAGGAATCGCCACACTGACTTCCACAATGGTTGAACTAGTTTACAGTCCCACCAACACTGTAAGAGTATTCCTATTTCTCCACATCCTCTCCAGCACCTGTTGTTTCCTGACTTTTTAATGATTGCCATTCTAACTGGTGTGAGATGGTATCTCATTGTGGTTTTGATTTGCATTTCTCTGATGGCCAGTGGTGATGAGCATTTTTTCATGTGTTTTTTGGCTGCATAAATGTTTTCTTTTGAGAAGTGTCTGTTCATATCCTTCACCTACTTTTTGATGGGGTTGTTTTTTTCTTGTAAGTTTCTTTGAGTTCTTTGTAGATTCTGGATATTAGCCCTTTGTCAGATGAGTAGATTGCAAACATTTTCTCCCATTCTGTAGGTTGCCTGTTCACTCTGATGGTAGTTTCTTTGGCTGTGCAGAAGCTCTTTAGCTTAATTAGATCCCATTTGTCAATTTTGGCTTTTGTTGCCATTGCTTTTGGTGTTTTAGATATGAAGTCCTTGCCCATGCCTATGTCCTGAATGATATTGCCTAGGTTTTCTTCTAGGGCTTTTATGGGTTTAGGTCTAACATTTAAGTCTTTAATCCATCTTGAATTAATTTTTGTATAAGGTGTAAGGAAGGGATCCAGTTTCAGCTTTCTACATATGGCTAGCCAGTTTTCCCAGCACCATTTACTAAATAGGGAATCCTTTCCCCATTGCTTGTTTTTGTCAGGTTTGTCAAAGATCAGTTGGTTGTAGATGTGTGGTATTATTTCTGAGGGCTCTGCTCTGTTCCATTGGTCTGTATCTCTGTTTTGGTGCCAGTACCATGCTGTTTTGGTTACTGGAGCCTTATAGTATGGTTTGAAGTCAGGTAGCGTGATGCCTCCGGCTTTGTTCTTTTGGCTTAGGGTTGTCTTGGCAATGCGGGCTCTTTTTTGGTTCCATATGAACTTTAAAGTAGTTTTCTCCAATTCTGTGAAGAAAGTCATTGGCAGCTTGATGGGGATGGCATTGAATCTGTAAATTACCTTGGGCAGTATGGCCATTTTCACAGTATTGATTCTTCCTATCCATGAGCATGGAAAGTTCTTCCATTTGCTTGTGTCCTCTTTTATTTCGTTGAGCAGTGATTTGTAGTTCTCCTTGAAGAGGTCCTTCACATCCCTTGTAAGTTGTATTCCTAGGTATTTTATTCTCTTTGAAGCTATTGTGAATGGGAATTCACTCATGATTTGGCTCTCTGTTTGTCTGTTATTGGTGTATAGGAATCTTGTGATTTCTGCACATTGATTTTGTATCCTGAGACTTTGCTGAAGTTGCTTATCAGCTTAAGGAGATTTTGGGCTGAGACAGTAGGGTTTTCTAAATATACGATCATGTCATCTGCAAACAGGGACAATTTGACTTCCTCTTTTCCTAATTGAATACCCTTTATTTCCTTCTCCTGCCTGATTGCCCTGGCCAGAACTTCCAACACTATGTTGAATAGGAGTGGTGAGAGAGGGCATCCCTGTCTTGTGCCAGTTTTCAAAGGGAATGCTTCTAGTTTTTTGCCCATTCAGTATGATATTGGCTGTGGGTTTGTCATAGATAGCTCTTATTATTTTGAGATACGTGCCATCAATCGCTAATTTATTGAGAGTTTTTAGCATGAAGGGCTGTTGAATTTTGTCAAAGGCCTTTTCTGCATCTATTGAGATAATCATGTGGTTTTTGTCTTTGGTTCTGTTTATATGCTGGATTACATTTATTGATTTGCGTATGTTGAACCACCCTTGCATCCCAGGGATGAAGCCAACTTGATCGTGGTGGATAAGCTTTTTGATGTGCTGTTGGGTTTGGTTTACCAGTATTTTATTGAGGATTTTTGCATTGATGTTCATCAGGGATATTGGTCTAAAATTCTCTTTCTTTGTTGTGTCTCTGCCAGGCTTTGGTAGCAGGATGATGCTGACCTCATAAAATGACTTAGGGAGGATTCTGTCTTTTTCTATGGATTGGAATAATGTCAGAAGGAATGGTACCAGCTCCCCTTTGTACCTCTGGTAGAATTTGGCTATGAATCCATCTGGTCCTGGACTTTTTTTTGGTTGGTAAGGTATTAATTATTGCCTCAATTTCAGAGCCTGTTATTGGTCTATTCAGGAATTCAACTTCTTCCTGGTTTAGTCTTGGGAGGGTGTATGTGTCCAGGAATTTATCCATTTCTTCTAGATTTTCTAGTTTATTTGCATAGAGGTGTTTATAGTATTCTCTGATGGTAGTTTGTATTTCTGTGGGATCAGTGGTGATATCCCCTTTATCATTTTTTATCATGTCTATTTGATTCATCTCTCTTTTCTTGTTTATTAGTCTTGCTAGCAGTCTACCAATTTTGTTGATCTTTTCAAAAAACCAGCTCCTGGATTCATTGATTTTTTTGAAGGGTTTTTCTTGTCTCTATCTCCTTCAGTTCTGCTCTGATCTTAGTTGTTTCTTGCTTTCTCCTAGCTTTTGAATGTGATTGCTCTTGCTTCTCTAGTTCTTTTAACTGTGATGTTAAGGTGTCGATTTTTAGATTTTCCTGCTTTCTCTTTTGGGCATTTAGTGCTATAAATTTCCCTCTACACACTGCTTTAAATGTGTCCCAGAGATTCTGGTATGTTGTGTCTTTGTTCTCATTGGTTTCAAAGAACATCTTCATTTCTGCCTTCATTTCGTTATGTACCCAGTAGTCATTCAGGAGCAGATTGTTCAGTTTCCATGTAGTTGTGCGGTTTCGAGTGAGTTTGTTAATTCTGAATTCTAATTTGATTGTACTGTGGTCTGAGAGACAGTTTGTTATAATTTCTGTTCTTTTACATTTGCTGAGGAGAGCTTTATTTCCACTATGTGGTCAATTTTGGAATAAGTGCCATGTGGTGCTGAGAAGAACGTATATTCTGTTGATTTGGGGTGGAGAGTTCTGTAGATGTCTATTAGGTCTGCTTGGTGCAGAGCTGAGTTCAATTCCTGGATATCCTTGTTAACTTTCTGTCTTATTCATCTGTCTAATGTTGACAGTGGGGTGTTAAAGTCTCCCATTATTATTGTGTGGGGGTCTAAGTCTCTTTGTAGGTCTCTAAGGACTTGCTTTATGAATCTGGGTGCTCCTGTATTGGGTGCATATATATTTAGGATAGTTAGCTCTTCTTGTTGAATTGATCCCTTTACCATTATGTAATGGCCTTCTTTGTCTCTTTTGATCTTTGTTGGTTTAAAGTCTGTTTTATCAGAGACTAGGATTGCAACCCCTGCTTTTTTTTGCTTTCCATTTGCTTGGTAGATCTTCCTCCATCCCTTTATTTTGAGCCTATGTCTGTCTCTGCAAGTGAGATGGGTTTCCTGAATACAGCACACTGATAGGTCTTGACTCTATCCAATTTGCCAGTCTGTGTCTTTTAATTGGGGCATTTAGCCCATTTACATTTAAGGTTAATATTGTTATGTGTGAATTTGATCCTGTCATTATGATGTTAGCTGGTGATTTTGCTCGTTAATTGATGCAGTTTCTTCCTAGCATCGAAGGTCTTTACAATTTGGCATGTTTTTGCAGTGGCTGGTACCGGTTGTTCCTTTCCATGTTTAGTGCTTCCTTCAGGAGCTCTTGTAAGGCAGGCCTGGTGGTGACAAAATCTCTCAGCATTTGCTTGTCTGTAAAGTATTTTATTTCTCCTTCACTTATGAAGCTTAGTTTGGCTGGATATCAAATTCTGGGTTGAAAATTCTTTTCTTTAAGAATGTTGAATATTGGCCCCCACTCTCTTCTGGCTTGTAGGGTTTCTGCTGAGAGATCTGCTGTTAGTCTGATGGGTTTCCCTTTGTGGGTAACCCGACCGTTCTCTCTGGCTGCCCTTAACATTTTTTCCTTCATTTCAACCTTGGTGAATCTGACAATTATGTGTCTTGGGGTTGCTCTTCTCGAGGAGTATCTTTGTGGCGTTCTCTGTATTTCCTGAATGTGAATGTTGGCCTGCCTTGCTAGGTTGGGGAAGTTCTCCTGGATAATATCCTGCAGCGTGTTTTCCAACTTGGTTCCATTCTCCCTGTCACTTTCAGGTACACCAATCAAACGTAGATTTGGTCCTTTCACATAGTCCCATATTTCTTGGAGGCTTTGTTCGTTTCTTTTTACTCTTTTTTCTCTCAACTTCTCTTCTCCCTTCATTTCATTCATTTGATCTTCAATCACTGATACCCTTTCTTCCACTTGATCAATTCGGCTACCGAAGCTTGTGCATGCATCACGTAGTTCTTGTGCCATGGCTTTCAGCTCCATCAGATCATTTAAAGTCTTCTCTATGCTGTTTATTCTAGTTAGCCATTTGTCTAATCTTTTTTCAAGGTTTTTAGCTTCTTTGTGATGGGTTTGAACATCGTCCTTTAGCTCGGAGAAGTTTGGTATTACCGATCTTCTGAAGCCTACTTCCGTCAACTTGTCAAAGTCATTCTCCATCCAGCTTTTTTCCATTGCTGGCGAGGAGCTGTGATCCTTTGGAGGAGAAGAGGCGGTCTGATTTTTAGAATTTTCAGCTTTTCTGCTCTGGTTTCTCCCCATCTTTGTGGTTTTATCTACCTTTAGTCTTTGATGATGGTGACCTACAGATGGGGTTTTGATGTGGATGTCTTTTTGTTGGTGTTGATGCTATTCCTATCTGTTTGTTAGTTTTCCTTCTAACAGGACCTTCAGCTGCAGGTCTGTTGGAGTTTGCTGGAGGTCCACTCCAGACCCTGTTTCCCTGGGTATCACCAGCAGAGGCTGCAGAACAGCAAATATTGCAGAACAGCAAATATTGCCACCCAATCCTTCCTCTGGAAGCTTGGTCTCAGAGGAGCACCCGGGTGTATGAGGTATCAGTCAGCCCCTACTGGGAGGTATCTCCCAGTTAGGCTACTCGGGGTTCAGGGAGCCACTTGAGGAGGCAGTCTGTCCATTCTCAGATCTCAAACTCCATGCTGGGAGAACTACTGCTCTCTTCAAAGCTGTCAGACAGGGACGTTTAAGTCTGCAGAAGTTTCTGCTGCCTTTTGTTCAGCTATGCCCTGCCCCCAGAGGTGGAGTCTACAGAGGCAGGCCAGCCTCCTTGAGCTGTGGTGGGCTCCACCCAGTTCGAGCTTCCCAGCCGCTTTGTTTACCTAGTCAAGCCTCAGCAATGGCAGACGCCCGTCCCCCAGCCTCAATGCTGCCTCACAGTTTGATCTCGGGCTGCTGTGCTAGCAGTGAGCAAGGTTCCATGGGCATGGGACCCAGTGAGCCAGATGCAGGATATAATCTCCTGGTGTGCCATTTGCTAAGACTGTTGGAAAAGCACAGTATTAGGGTGGGAGTGTCCCGAGTTTCCAGGTACCATCTGTCATGGCTTCCCTTGGCTAGGACAGGCTAGTTATTTTTCTTGATCCTTTCCTTCCTCCCATCCTCCACTCTCCAATAGGCCCCATTGTTTCTTGTTCCCCTCTATGTGTTCATGTGTTCTCATCATTTAGCTCCCACTTATAAGTGAGAACATGCAGTATTTGGTTTTCTGTTCCTGTGTTAGTCTGCTAAGGATAATGGCCTCCAGCTCCATTCATGTCCCTGCAAAGGACATCATCTCATTCTCTTTATGGCTGCATAGTATTCCATGGTGTATATGCACCACATTTTCTTTATCCAGTCTATTACTGATGGGCATTAAGTTGATTACACGTCTTTGCTATTGTGAATAGTGCTGCAATAAACGTATATGTGCATGTGTCCTTATAACAGAATGATTTATAATTGGCTTTTTTGCTATTGCTTGAGTTCCTATATAGTCTGGTTATTAATCCCTTGTCAGTTTATTCAGCTTTTTGCAAATGTTTTCTCACATTCTGTAGGTTGTCTCTTCACTTTGTTGATTGTTTACTTTGTTATGGAGAAGATTTTTAGTTTAATGTGATCCAATTTGTCAACTTTTCTTCAGTTGCCTGTGCTTTAGATATAGTACAATTCAGATTTTCTATTTCTTCTGTTGTCAATTTAGTAATTTGAATTTTTCAAAAAAAACTTTAATAGGATTTTTCATTTTATCAAAAATGTAAACTCAGATGAAAAAAATTTGTATATAATACAGGTTAAACATCCCTACTCCAAAAATCTGAAATCCAAAATGCTCCAAAATTTGAATCTTTTTGAGCACCATCATGATGCCACGAGTGGAAAATTTTACATGTAACCTCATGTATAAAACATTGTTTTGTGCAAAAAAAAGAAATATTGTATAAAACTGCCTTCAAGGTATGTGTATAAGGTGTGCATAAAACATAAATGAATTTTATGTTTAGACTTGTGTCTTGCTCCTAAAATATCTCATTATGTATATGCAAATATTCCAAAATCTGAAAAATTCCAAAATGCCAAATACTTGTGGTCCCAAGCATTTCATATAAGGGGTACTCACCTGTATTACCTTAGTATCCCCTTAATGTCCTTATTATTTTTAGTGATGTACTTTTTTATTTGTGATATTAACAATTTGTTTTTCCTCTTTTTTCTTGATCATCCTCCTAGAATGTTATGATTTTGTTATTTACTGAAATAATCAAATTTTGCCTTTGTTAATTTTTCTATTATTTGCCTGTGTTGTATTTCATAGATTTTTTTCTTATCTTTCTCATTTTATTCCTTCCCTCTGTTTATTACGACCTTAATTTCTTGCTTAACTCTTTTTTGTAGAGATGGAGTCTCCCTGTGTTGGCCAGGCTGGTCTTGAGCTCCTGGGCTCAAGCAAGCCTTCCACTTCAGCCTCCAGCAATCCTCCCACCTTGGCCTCCCACAGTGCTGGGATTACAGGTGTGAGTCACTGAACCTAGACTTGACTTTAGCTTCTTGAAGAGGAAATTTTGATCTTTGCTTTTAAACCTTTCTCATTTCAAATACAAATATTTAAAACTGTACATTTTCCACTAAACACAGCTTTTGATTGGGTCTCACATAATTTGGTATAATGTATTTTAATTTTTATTCAGTTTTAAATATGTGCTAATTTCCCTTTGGATTTCTTTTTTGATCCATAGTATATGTAGATGTGTGTTGTTTAATTTCCTAATGTGTGGGGATTTTTTTCAGCTATTATTGGTGTATAATTTATTTCTGTTTTGATCAAAGAACATGCAGTGAAGGATTCTGGTCTTCTCAAATAAAGACTCCTTTTATGGCCTGGCATATGGTCTATTTTGGTGACTATTTCAGACACTTGAAAAGAATATGTATTCTGCAGTTTGGGGGTATAGTCTTCTATATATATCAGTTACGTCAAGTTAATTGACAGTTCTGTTCAAAGCTCCTGTATTCCTACTGATTTAGGGGGTCTACTTGTTCTGTTAATTTGTGAAAAAGGAATATAAAATTCTCCACATGTAATTGTGAATTTGTCTCTTTTTCTCTTTATTCTGCAGTTCTAACTTCAAGCATTTTAAAGCTCTGTTACTTAAGAGTGTGTGTCCTGAGATTTCAGTCTGAAGCGACCCTCTTTATTTCTGCTAACACTGCTTGTTTTGATGTTTGCTCTTCTTGTATTGATATAGCCACATAAGCTTTTTGATGTTTACTTTGTGTATGTATGATGTATCTCTTCCCATCCTTTTACTTTTAACCTATGTTTGTATATAAACTGCATCTCTTTAGAGTGCCTATAGTTGGGTCTTACTTTTTTACACAGTCTGTCATCCTCTACCTTTTTCTTGGAGTGTTGAATTATTTTACATTTAATGTAAATATTGGTAAGATTTGGTTTAAGCCTACCATCTTATTTTGTAATTCTCCTGTTTTTTGTTTCTCTGTTCCTTTGTTTCTGACTTCTTTTAGATTAATCAAATATGTTTTGTCATTCCATCTTAATTCCTGTAAAATACCTCTTTGCATTTTTTTTTAATGCTTGTTTTAGAGCTGGTTTTCTCACTCTCAGCACTAGTGACATTTCTGGCTGGATAATTATTTGTTGTGGGGGCTGTCTTGTGCATTGCAGAATATTTAACAACATCCCTGGCTTCTACTTACTATATGCCAGTAGTATTTCCCTCCAATTTTGACAACGAAATACGTATCTCCAGAAATTGTCAAAAGTCCCATTGGAAGGAAAATCACCCTTTGATTATTATGTGCACAGGTGTAGGTATCTTTTTATCTTGTTTGGATTTCACTTAACTGATCACAATATACTCAAATTAATAGTTTAAGTCTTGATGTAAAATATAAGAACTTTATAATGCAAAATTTCATCTCCCCTATCCTTTGTGATGTTATGTATTTTACATTTATATAAATATAATAAAAACCACAATACATGTTTGTTATTTTGCCTTCAATAGTCTATTTTTTTTTTTTTAGAGATTCAGAGTAAGAAAGACATGAACTTTTTTTCTTCAGCTTTACTGAGGTGTAATTGCCAACACTTGTTTACTATTTTTGGTAAGTCATCTTGTAAACCTGAGTTTCCATCCAGTGTCATTTTACTCCAGCTTAAGTAACTCCCTTTAGCATTTCTTTTAGTGTAAAACTGCTGGGGACAAATTCTCCCAACTTTCTCTTAGCTGAAAATGTCTGGTTTTTAATTCTCTTTTTTGAAGGATATTTTCCCTGGATATAGAATTCTGTTTTGTTCTATGTTTTTCTTTCATCACTTTAAAGATGCCATTGCATTGAATTATGGCCTCCATTGTTTCTGATAAGAAGTCAGCAGTTTCAGTTTGATTATTATGTGCACAGGTATAGGTATCTTTGTTTTTATCCTGTTTGGATTTCACTGAGATCCTTAAATCAGAAAAGTAATTTTTTTCAACAAATTTGGGAAAATTTTAGCCATCATTTCTTGAAATTATTTTCTCTGCTCTATTATTTCTTCTGTCTCCAATTCTAAGCATGTTAAATTACTTGATATTGTTCCACATGTCACTGAAGCTCAGTGGAGGTTTTTTTCCTCTTTCTTTCAAGCAGGGAATTTCTATTGATCTGGCTTCAACAATCCTTTCTTCTGCACTCTCTATTTTGCTGTCAATCCCATTCATTGATTTTTTTTTTTCGTGTCTGATCTTATATTTTTGAATTATAAAATATCTGTTTGGTTCATTCCTCTGCTGATAATGTTCCTTCTTTATAATGTTCATTCCTCTGCTGATATTCCCCATCTGTCTACTCATTATGGCTATCTTTCCTGTGACTTGTTGAACATGTTTATAACAGCTGCTTTAAATTCCTTGTCTGATAATTCCTGCAGCTGTATCCTCTCATGGTATGTCTCTATTGACTCCCACTTTCCCTGATTATGGAACATAGTTTTTTCCTTTTTTCTGCCTTTTTATATGCTGAATAGAGTAACTAATAAATTGTATACAGTCTAGATTATGTATTGAATTTTGTTCTGGAAACGCTTTAATTATTGGTGAAAATGTTAGGTCCTGTTGGCTTTAGTTTTATCCTGTTAGGATGGCTCTTTTAAACTTTCGGTCCCTTATTCTAGGACATGGTCCTTATTTCTAAGGTGTTTGCATTATGAGGTCTGATCTGAATGCCTGAGATGCTCAGTGGGATCTCTTCTCTCTGGCTAGGCCAGAATACCAACATCTTCCAGCAGTTCATGACCTCTGGTATTTTTCCTTTATAAGCAACTCCACAATTTCTGATAAGCCTAGCAAAGTCAAGCCCTCCCTGTGTGGAGCCCAGCTCTTAGCCAAGGACCATGCAAACTTCTACTGCCACCCTTCTTCTCAGCTCTATGTTCTATCATCTCACAAATTCCAGTATCTTCAGCAGCCCAGAACTCCAATTTCTGCTTCTGCTCGTGCTCCATCTTCCAGTGTGAGGCAAGATAGTATTCACAGGCAAAAAGGTGGATAACTGTGGAGTTCATTTTGTGAATTTTTCTTTTTGCAAGGATCACAATACTGCACTGTCTGTTGTTCATTGCCTAAAAATAGTTGCTGCATCTATTTTTCCAATGTTTATTTGTTGTTGATATGAAAGTAAGTCAAGGTCCAGTTACTTTGTAATGGGCAAAAGTAGATGTTTTATAATTTTTCCTGTTTAATTAAAATTTAAAACATATTTTCCTTACATTAGCAACTGTACTAGAAATATTATACTTGAGAAAAGGAAAGGATGATAAGGTTATGTTGGCAAGACTAGCTTGATAGATAAAACTAATTCTGAACCTGAAGATTCTAGCTCCAAACTTGTGGCTAATTGGAATTTAATAGCCAAGATATAGCATTATCTGAGAAGGATCTCCTTGTCTATCATATATCTCCAATATATTCTTACCTATCATTATTTATGCCTTAAAACTGCCAATAATTCTTTGAGGCTCTCTGAATGAGTGCAAACACCAAATAGTTGTATCCAGCCTGCCCTATGGAATGGCCTCATCAGCTGGCTGCTCTTTGCTGCAATGAAGTCTTCTTTCTTCCTGGTCCTGCCCTCTAGTTCTCCCCTTTCTCTGAACTTTTGCATGGGATATCAGTGTATGAAGCAAGCATCTTTCTTTTTGGCATCCACCATGTTATATTTGAAGGCCCACCTTGTCCAGAAGGTTTTTTTTTCTCTGAACAATTCTATCCATTTCTTGAGAAGTCTGTTTATGTCCTCTCCCCTTAGCCTCAGCTGCTGAAAAATCTGAGACCAAAATAATAAAGGTATTTATTACATCCAATCCCCCTCCTAGATATACTGGGACACTGATTCTGTAAGGGTGTCCTCTTATACACTTTTAACAAGTCCCACGTATCTCCTCCACTGCTGTTTCTTATAGGACATCTTACATCAAGGTGCACTCCATGCCATTGACCCTGAAAAATATTGCCAAAGTATTTTTTTTATTGCCATGTTCTTTTTTAAAGACTCTCCAAGTTTGAGTCATGCTTGCATTTTTGCAGCCTCTTCTTTTGAGGAAATTAAAGAGCACATAGTTCAATGTTGAGGAAGCTTTCAGCAATGGTCCTGTTCAGGAAGAAAGCTGAGTTGACCGTAAGCAGCAAATGGCTTGGCCTTGTGAGTAGAGTATGATCTTCAGACATCCCAATAATTTCTCTGTAGGAACAACAACATCGTTATTATTACTTCCTGGGACATTTCTTGATCTAATTATGCTGGGTGTGAGTAGGTGGCTAACAAAATCCCCTTGTGACTTTAAGACTTAGAAAACTTCATGCATATTATACCCCCATATTATGCCTCAAGAACTCCATTATTCCCCAAGGTAAAAATATAAACTGGTCTTTAAAATGATTCTAGGTTACATGTTTATGTCTGTGTTTCTGTGGTTTTGTATATGTATTTGGAAAATCACATTCCCTCTACTAGGTTTCAGTCTCCTTGAGGGCACAGATTGGATTTATTCTTTAGCTAACTGGTACTTGTCCTCTGTCAGACCACTAGGCCCCTGATGCATACACCCAAGGCAATGCAACTTGCCCAGCTCTGGACCACAGGATTTCCCAACATTTATCATAAACCATTAGAAAAGCAACACATCATTCGAATTGGATTTCTAGACCAAAAATGGTTTTCAAAATGAAAACATGGTCTACAGAACTGTATTCTTCACTGCCATTTAATCACTCACCATTATAAAAGGGAATCTAAAGTTCTCTCAAAAATATAGATCCTAGCAGCAAAAATGTATTTCTAGTGATTATCTGACAGTGGAGTAGAAATTGGTATTCCAGCACTAGGGTAGGATTTCTCTATTCCCAGCCAGATTTGAATTCCAGGGTTGTCTCTTATTAGCTAGGTGTCCATAGGAAGGATAAAAATATATGAAACCCCCCTGTTTACCCATCCTTAAAATGGAGACAAGAATTCTTAATCATCAGGTTTGTTTTGAAGACTAAATAATATGATGTTCCTCAAATATAATCTTCAATCAGATTATGAGCCTCTAATAGAGTGCATCAATTGCCATCACCTGATTCAGCTAGTTGACATTAGAATCTGTAAACTAGAGCCATTATATTGGGGGAAAAGTGGAGAGGATGGTATGATTTTGAGATTATGTCTACAAGACTGGTTTAGTAGATAAAGCTAGCTCTGAACATAAAGATTCTAGGAATTGGACATAACTTTGATTTAAAAATCATTCATGGGTTCTAGTTTTTAAATTAGGAAAGAGATTAATAGAATCATTGAATGGATTTAAAAGGTAATCGTGGAAAACTGCACTTCTCCAAGGTTTGTAAAGCTAAATTTTTTTTAAAAGCTGATTTCAAGGTTTGGAGCTCACAGTTGCCTTCCTTATCAGTTAGTGTTGTTAGCAAGATAATGAAATGAATCCAGAAATCATGAGGAGTTATCCTTGCAGTGGCATTGTGTGAAGTAATTCACATTTCTGTGCTGAAACCAACAGCAAAATACCAGACAGAGAAGACAAACCTCTGAAGCCTTGATAAAGAAAATAGTTATTTTTAAATGTGTTTATGATTACACATTTTATTTTCCCATTCAAGTATAGTTGCATTAATGCAATTAGTTCCAATGCTCAAAATATGAAAAATTAACATTCAGAAGCTTCACTATAAAATTGGATTATTTTGGATGAACTAAAACAATAAAAGTTATTTTAACCTCTGCATGCATTAGCATTTGAGAGCTGGAAGAAATATATAAAATTTAACAAATTCTAAAGCAGTAATATAAATCCCATTTCTTGAGCTCTTAACTTCAGTGTTTTTCAATTTTAGAATTTCCAATTGATTCTCACAGCTTCCAGATTTCTACTGAGATTCCTCCTCTTGTCATATAATTTATTAAACATATTAATTAAAGTTATTTTAAAGTATATGATTAATAACTCAATATCTGGATCTCCAGAAGATCTGTTACTAACTCCTGTTTTTTTCTTTTTCCTTTTAAATAAATTATTGTCCTTTTTCATGTTTGGTTTCAGTTTTATTAACTGAATATTAGACATTGTGTTTGGAAGTTGTTGGAAGTTGAGTCTTTGAATGGCGTTATCTTCCTCCAGAGTGATCTACTTTTGCTTCTGGCAAGAAGTTAGGGTAGGGGAACATTGTTGTACTTTTGTCTAGGATTGAGCTGATTTGAAACTTAGCTTCAATCATTATGAGAGCTGGTCTATTATGAGTTCACTCTTTTACCTAAGGTGTAGTCCTTCAAGCGTTCTAAATGACACAAGCACTCATATGTTCATTGTAGCACTATTCACATTAGCAAAGACATGGAATCAACTTAGGTGTCCTTCAGTGGTGGATTGGATAAATAAAATGTGGTATGTATACACCACGTAATACTACGCAGCCACAAAAAGGAATGAGATCATGTCTTTTGCAGCAACATGGATGCAGCTGGAGACCCTTTTCCTAAGTGAATTAATGTAGGAACAGAAAACCCAATATCACACGTTCTCACTTATAAGTGGGAGCTAAACATTGGGTACTCATAGACATAAAGATGGCAATAATAGACACTGCGAACTATTACAAGGTGGAGGGAGGGAGGAGGGCAAGTGTTGAAAAACTAACTGTTGGGTACTATGCTCACTATCTGGGTAATGGGATCAATCATACCCAAACCTCAGCATCATACAACATAACAAACCTGTACATGTACCCCCGAATCTAAAATAAAAGTTAAGGTTATTTTTAAACAGGGTTCCAACTAAAACACATGTGTATTTATAAGGGGGCTCCTCCTCCTTAGGGGGCCCTGAACTTTAGCTCTTGTCCCCTCAATCCATTAGATTTCTAAATCCTCTGTGCAGTTTCTCAACCTCTCAACTTCTGCCAAATCAATAAATGCCTCAGGGGCTCTTGATAAGTCCCTTAACCCTTCCAAGCCACAGTTTCTTTATCCATAGAATGAGGCCAATACTAAAGACCTTACAGTGTTATTGGGACTCTTTAATAAAATAACTTTTGTAAAGCAAATGATGTAATGCTTGGCACTTAATAGCTCCTCTATACTTGTCATTTTTTTCATCTTTTGTGGATCTAACCCTTCTTCTCAAAATGTTCAAGACAAAACTGCAATGACTGCCATATGGTAGTTGTTCTAGACAGGATTTGAAGGGAAGGAAAGCATTATTCCAACTGCCTTTTTACAGCATCTGAAGCACAAGTACCTTATGCCTATCTTGTATGGAATTCAGCATCACAGTTCATCTCTTTCTTCAAAATAAGCCATAAAAAGGCACAAGTTATTTAGAGGTAAAGTACCTAATCCATAATGCAATATTTATGAGCTAATTTGAATTTCCTATGAGAAAGAATTCTAGCATTTTGCTTACCCTTGGAAAATAAAAATGTGTGGCATGTGCATAAGTATTATCAGAGGGCAAAGGACACACATGGGCTGGAAGACACTTGTAATCAGTTCTAATCTTCCCACATGCACAGCAAAATGTATAAAATGCAAACACTGGACACTACTTGACAGAACCATGGGTTACATCACAGAGAATACCTCTTTTATTTTCTTGTTTCCTTCAATAGATAAGCCTTTTTCTCCCATAAGAAGCTGGGGACTTCTTTGCAGCAGGTGTCTGAAAATAAATTACATAACGCAAAAATACTTTCCTCCTTAACCCCAGTAAAACTGTCAATTTCATCCTGCATTATAGCACCAATGGCCCTGCCACAATTTTACCATTATCGTGGAGTGAGATTCAAAGTCAATGCTGGGCCCCGAGAAACCCTTTTTTTATATAAAAAAGTTTTATTTATTATTTATATACAAAAAACTGCATTCATTTAAAGCGTATATTTCCATACATTTTATTACATGCACACACACACACACACACACACACACACACACACACACACACACACACACATATATATATATGGGAAGCCACCGCAATAATGAAGATATAGAATATTTCCACCTCCCCACCCAAAGATTCCTTACGGTACCCCTTTGCAGTCCATTTCTCCTTCCATCCCCAGTTCCAGGCACTCATTGATCTGCTTTCTATCACTATAGATCAATTTGCATTTCTATATTAGTTTGCTTTCTAGAATTTTATATATATGTAATTATACTGTATAATTCTTATTCTGTCTAGCTTATTTCACTCCCCATAATGTATCTGAGTTTCATCACATTGTTGTATGTATCAGTAGTTCATTCCTTTTCATTGCTAAGTTGTACTCCATTTTGTAGGTATGCTACAGTTTATCTGTTTACCTATTGATGGACATTTGCATTGTTTCCAGGTTTTCTCTTCTTATAATTAAAGCTGCCATGAACATTTGCATACAAGTCATCTTGTGGATATGTGTTTCCATTTCTCTTAGGTAAATATATAGAAGTAGAATAGCTGGGTTGTATAGGTATATGCTTAACTTTACAAGAAACTGACAAATCATTTTTCAAAGTGCTTGTACTGTTTTACATTTTCACCAACAATGTATGAGAGTTCCAATTATGTGGATACTTCGTAACATCCATTTTATTTGCTTGAAGACAGCAACTCACAGCAAACTAGTCCATAGTAAAGTTTGACATTGGGCTTTTCAGTTTTTTACTCTGAATCTGCTTCTGCATCTGAAAAATAAAAATAAGAATAAGAAAGAAACCTACCTCACTGTGTTGTTTTGGTGTTCAAATGACATATGGATATAAAGATCTCAGCAGATGGTAAATGCCCAATAAATGTTGTGTATCATTATTATCTATATATTATTAAGGTTATTGCCAGAGACTTGCTAAGAGTTTTACTTTTGTCATCTTATTTAATACTCCCAATGACTCTGAAATGTGGGTATTCAATATATATATTTTGTGGATGAGCAAACTGACTAGGAGAGGTGAAATGATTTGCTCAAAAATCACACAGCAGGGGCAAGAGCAAGCTGGCCAATTAGAAGGCTCTACTGATTGTCTCTTCTGCAGGAGCCCCAAATTTAAGAACTACACACAAAAAAAGTTCCTTTATAAGAACCAAAAACCAGGTGGTCACTCATAGTACTTGGTTTTAACGTCATATCACTGAAAAAAGCACTAGAGAGGGTAGGAAAGACAGTCTTGAATCTCCAACGCCACCCTTTCCCCATCCTCCAGCAGCAGCCCCATGGCACAGAGAGAGAATCTGTGTACTTGGGAGAGGGACAGCACAGTGATTATGAGACTTTGCATTGAACTCAGTGCTGCCCTGCCACAGCAGAAAGTAAAACCAGGCTGAACTCAGCTGACACCCACCCACAGAGGGAGTACTTATTTATTTTTTATTTTTATTTTTTTGATTTTATTTTATTATTATTATACTTTAACTTTTAGGTTACATGTGCACAATGTGCAGGTTTGTTACATATGTATACGTGTGCCATGTTGGTGTGCTGCACCCATTAACTCGTCATTTAGCATTAGGTATATCTCCTAAAGCTATCCCTCCCCCTTCCCCGCACCCCACAACAGTCCCCGGAGTGTGATGTTCCCCTTCCTGTGTCCATGTGTTCTCATTGTTCAATTCCCACCTATGAGTGAGAACATGCGGTGTTTGGTTTTTTGTCCTTGTGATAGTTTGCTGAGAATGATGGTTTCCAGTTTCATCCATGTCCCTACAAAGGACATGAACTCTTCATTTTTTATGGCTGCATAGTATTCCATGGTGTATATGTGCCACATTTTCCTAATCCAGTCTATCGTTGTTGGACATTTGGCTTGGTTCCAAGTCTTTGCTATTGTGAATAGTGCCGCAATAAACATACGTGTGCATGTGTCTTTATAGCAGCATAATTTATAATCCTTTGGGTATATACCCAGTAATGAGATGGCTGGGTCAAATGGTATTTCTAGTTCTAGATCCTTGAGGAATCACCACACTGACTTCCACAATGGTTGAACTAGTTTACAGTCCCACCAACAGTGTAAAAGTGTTCCTATTTCTCCACATCCTCTCCAGCACCTGTTGTTTCCTGACTTTTTAATGATCACCATTCTAACTGGTGTGAGATGATATCTCATTGTGGTTTTGATTTGCATTACTCTGATGGCCAGTGATAATGAGCATTTTTTCATGTGTTTTTTGGCTGCATAAATGTCTTCTTTTGAGAACTGTCTGTTCATATCCTTCGCCCACTTTTTGATGGGGTCGTTTGTTTTTTTCTTGTAAATTTGTTTGAGTTCATTGTAGATTCTGGATATTAGCCCTTTGTCAGATGAGTAGGTTGTGAAAATTTTCTCCCATTTTATAGGTTGCCTGTTCACTCTGATGGTATTTCTTTTGCTGTGCAGAAGCTCTTTAGTTTAATTGGATCCCATTTGTCAATTTTGTCTTTTGTTGCCATTGCTTTTGGTGTTTTAGACATGAAGTCCTTGCCCATGCCTATGTCCTGAATGGTAATGCCTAGGTTTTCTTCTAGGGTTTTTATGGTTTTAGGTCTAACGTTTAAGTCTTTAATCCATCTTGAATTGATTTTTGTATAAGGTGTAAGGAAGGGATCCAGTTTCAGCTTTCTACATATGGCTAGCCAGTTTTCCCAGCACCATTTATTAAATAGGGAATCCTTTCCCCATTTCTTGTTTTTGTCAGGTTTGTCAAAGATCAGATAGTTGTAGATATGTGGCATTATTTCCGAGGGCTCTGTTCTGTTCCATTGGTCTATATCACTGTTTTGGTACCAGTACCATGCTGTTTTGGTTACCGTAGCCTTGTAGTATAGTTTGAAGTCAGGTAGCATGATGCCTCCGGCTTTGTTCTTTTGGCTTAGGATTGACTTGGCAATGTGGGCTCTTTTTTGGTTCCATAGGAACTTTAAAGTAGTTTTTTCCAATTCTGTGAAGAAAGTCATTGGTAGCTTGATGGGGATGGCATTGAATCTGTAAATTACCTTGGGCAGTATGGCCATTTTCACGATATTGATTCTTCCTACCCATGAGCATGGAATGTTCTTCCATTTGTTTGTATCCTCTTTTATTTCATTGAGCAGTGGTTTGTATTTCTCCTTGAAGAGGCCCTTCACATCCCTTGTAAGTTGGATTGCTAGGTATTTTATTCTCTTTGAAGCAATTGTGAATGGGAGTTCACTCATGATTTGGCTCTCTGTTTGTCTGTTATTGGTGTATAAGAATGCTTGTGATTTTTGTACATTGATTTTGTATCCTGAGACTTTGCTGAAGTTGCTTACCAGCTTAAGGAGATTTTGGGCTGAGACAATGGGGTTTTCTAGATATACAATCATGTCATCTGCAAACAGGGACAATTTGAGTTCCTCTTTTCCTAATTGAATACCCTTTATTTCCTTCTCCTGCCTGATTGCCCTGGCCAGGACTTCCAACACTATGTTGAATAGGAGTGGTGAGAGAGGGCATCCCTGTCTTGTGCCAGTTTTCAAAGGGAATGCTTCCAGTTTTTGCCCATTCAGTATGATATTGGCTGTGGGTTTGTCATAGATAGCTCTTAGTATTTTGAGATACGTCCCATCAATAGCTAATTTATTGAGAGTTTTTAGCATGAAGTGTTGTTGAATTTTGTCAAAGGCCTTTTCTGCATCTATTGAGATAATCATGTGGTTTTTGTCTTTGGTTCTGTTTATATGCTGGATTACATTTATTGATTTGCATATGTTGAACCAGCCTTGCATCCCAGGGATGAGGCCCACTTGATCGTGGTGGATAAGCTTTTTGATGTGCTGCTGGATTCAGTTTGCCAGTATTTTATTGAGGATGTTTGCATCAATGTTCATCAAGGATATTGGTCTAAAATTCTCTTTTTTTGGTTGTGTCTCTGCCAGGCTTTGGTATCAGGATGATGCTGGCCTCATATTATCAAATTGTCCCTGTTTGCAGATGACATGGTTGTATATCTAGAAAACCCCATTGTCTCAGCCCAAAATCTCCTTAAGCTGATAAGCAACTTCAGCAAAGTCTCAGGATACAAAATTAATGTACAGAAATCACAAGCATTCTTATACACCAATAACAGACAAACAGAGAGCCAAATCATGAGTGAACTCCCATTCACAATTGCTTCAAAGAGAATAAAATACCTAGGAATCCAACTTACAAGGGACGTGAATGACCTCTTTGTATTTCTGTGGGATCGGTGGTGATATCCCCTTTATCATTTTTATTGAGTCTATTTGATTCTTCTCTCTTTTTTCTTTATTAGCCTTGCTAGCGGTCTATCGATTTTGTTGATCTTTTCAAAAAACCAACTCCTGGATTCATTAATTTTTTGAAGGGCTTTTTTTGTTTCTATTTCCTTCAGTTCTGCTCTGATTTTAGTTATTTCTTGCCTTCTGCTAGCTTTTGAATGTGTTTGCTCTTGCTTTTCTAGTTCTTTTAATTGTGATGTTAGGGTGTCAATTTTGGATCTTTCCTGCTTTCTCTTGTGGGCATTTAGTGCTATAAATTTCCCTCTACACACTGCTTTGAATGTGTCCCAGAGATTCTGGTATGTTGTGTCTTTGTTCTCGCTGGTTTCAAAGAACATCTTTATTTTTCTGCCTTCATTTCGTTATGTACCCAGTAGTCATTCAGGAGCAGGTTGTTCAGTTTCCATGTAGTTGAGCAGTTTTGAGTGAGTTTCTTAGTCCTGAGTTCTAGTTTGATTGCACTGTGGTCTGAGAGACAGTTTGTTATAATTTCTGTTCTTTTACATTTGCTGAGGAGAGCTTTACTTCCAACTATGTGGTCAATTTTGGAGTAGGTGTGGTGTGGTGCTGAAAAAAATGTATATTCTGGCGATTTGGGGTGGAGAGTTCTATAGATGTCTATTAGGTCGGCCTGGTGCAGAGCTGAGTTCAGTTCCTGGGTATCCTTGTTAACCTTCTGTCTCGTTGATCTGTCTAATGTTGACAGTGGGGTGTTCAAGTCTCCCATTATTATTGTGTGGGAGTCTAAGCCTCTTTGTAGGTCACTAAGGACTTGCTTTATGAATCTGGGTGCACAGAGGGAGTGTTTAAACCAGCCCTAGCCAGAAGGAAATTGCCAATCCCAGCAGTCGGTACTAGAGTTCTGGCAAGCCTCACCACCACTGGCTAAAGTGCTCTTGGGTGCTAAATAAACTTAAAAGGCAATCTGGGCCACAGGGCCTGCAACTCCTAGGGAAGTCCTAAGTGCTGAACTGAACTCAGAGCTGGTGGACTTTGGGGACACATAACCTACTGAGACACCAGCTGAGGTGGCTAAGAGAGTGCTTGCAGTACCCCTCCCCCAACCCCAGGCTGCAAAGCTTGTGGCTCCAAAAGAGACCCCTTCCTTTTGCTTGAGGAGAGAAGAGGGAAGAGTAAAGGGAACTTTGCTTTGCATTTTGGACACTGGATCAGCCACAGTAGAATAGGGCACCAGTCAGAATCATGAGACCCCTTTCTGGGCCCTAGCTCCCAGATCATATTTCTAGACACACCCCGGTCCAGAAGGGAACCTGCTGCCTTGAAAGGAAGGACCCAATCCAGGCAGGACCCACTACCTCATGAATAAAGAGCCCTTGGGCCCTGAATAACCTGCAGCAATACCCAGGTAGTATGCCATGGGGTTTGGGTGAGACTCTGAGACTTCCTGGTTTCATGTAAGACTCAGCACATTACCAGCTGTGGTGGCTATGGGGAGGGATACTTTTGGCTTGAGAAAAGCAAAGAGAAAAATAAGGGGGACTTTGTCTTGCACCTTAGGTACCAGCTGAGCCACAGAGGTGTAGAGCATCAAGTGGGCACATAGGGACCCTGATTCCAGGCCTTGGCTTTCGACAGCATTTCTGGGGCTTCCCTGGGCCAGAGGGGAGCCCACTGCCCTGAAGAGTGAGTCCTGGGCCTGGCAGCATTCACCACAATCTGACTGAAGAACCCTTGGGCCTTAAGTGAATGTCAGCAGTAGCCTGGCAGTACTCACCATGGGCCTGTGATGGTGGTGGCCACAGGATAAAGTTCCTTTGCCTGTGGAAAGGGAAGGGAAGCATGGGAATGGCTGTTTCTCAAGGTATGCTTGCCAACTCAGCTTCAGTATAATAGAACACCAGGTAGACTTTTTAGTTTTTTGATGCCAGTCCCTGGCTTACAAGTGACACCTCTATATCTATCTGGGGCTTCAGGGAATGTGTCACCATGAAGAGAAGCATAAAAGCCTGGCTGGCTTCAAACCCTGCTGATTGTAGAGACCAAATGATTCAGGAGATCCAAAGAAAATTTAGGCAGATAGTGAGGGCGAAAGAGTCCTCAGCAAAACTTCCCTTCTAACAAAAAGCAGCCTAAGAAATCACTTCTCTTCTAAAGAGCAGCCTGGAAGATCAGGCTGCAAACGTAGATAAGGAAGCTGGAAGCTTGCATGGAGAGATGCCTGCAGCTACCCAGATAGAAAGGGCCACCTGGGGCCAGGCATGTCCACTATGGGAGCTCCACCTTCTCTCTCTTTAAGCACATGCACAGTAAGAAAGAAATAAGCAATATGGAGTGGCTACCTGCCTGCATAATAAAAGATTGGGGTGGGGACTGCCAGAGATTTCTGCCCTGTGCAGATGGCACACCTAGTCCTAACTGGTTTTTCATGCCCTATGTAGATCAGGTACCACCTCCCCAGTATCTCGTCTATAAAAACCCCTGCATTTCACTGCACATTGGCAGCCCTTTTTTCCAGGACCCCTCTCTGTATCAGAGAGCTATTCTCTTTCTTTTGCCTATTAAATTTCTGCTCTAAACCTCACCCTTTGTGTGTACACATACTTGATCTTTATGGCCATGAGACCTAGAACTTTGGGTGTTACCCCAGACAATCAGATCACTTCACAAGTAAAAGAAGGTTATAGAACACCAAGCAGATTTGAAGACTACCTCAAGGCATGTAATAATGAAACTCCTGAAGATCAAGGACAAGGAAAGGATCCTACAACCAGCAACAGAAAATAAACAAATAACATACAATAAAGCTCCAATACATCTGGCAGCAGACTCTTCAGTGGAAACCTTACAGGCAAGGTGAGAGTGGCATGGCAAATTTAAAGTGCTGAAGGAGAAAAACTTTTATCTCACAATAGTATATCCAGTAAAAATATCCTTCAAACACGAAAGATAACAATAATAAAGGATATCTGGGCCGGGCATGGTGGCTCACACCTGTAATCCCAGCACTTTGGGAGGCTGAGGCAGGCAGATCATTTGAGGCCAGGAGTTCGAGACCAGCCTGGTCAACATGGGAAAACGCTGTCTCTACTAAAAATACAAAAATTAGCTGGGCGTGGTGGTGCATGTCTGTAATCCCAGCTACTTGGGAGGCTGAGACATGAGCATCACTTGAACCCCGGAGGCAGAGGTTGCAGTGAGCCAAGATCATGCCACGGTATTCCAGCCTGGGTGACAGAGCGAGACCCTGTCTCAAAAACAAACAAATAAAAAGGAATATCCCAGACAAAAGCTGAGGGATTTTATCACCTGTCCTACAATATATGCTAAAGGGAGTATTTCAATCAGAAAGAAAAGGAGGTTAATGAGCAATGAGAAATCATCTGATGGTACAGAATTCACGGGTAACAGTAAGTATAAAGAAAAATGCGGAATATTATAACAATGTAACTGTGGTATGTAAACTACTCTTATCGTAAGTAGAAAGATTAAAAATGAACCAATCAAAAATAATATCTATAACAACTGTTCAAAACACAGACAGTACAATAAGATATAAGTAGAAACAACAAAAAGTTAAAAAACCCAGGGGATTAAGTTAAGGTATAGAGCTTTTATTAGTTTTCTTTTAGCATGTCTGTCTGTTTGTTTGTTTGTTTATGCAAGCAGTGTGATGTTGTAATCAGCTAAAAATACTGGGTTATAAGATAATATTTTCAAGCCTCATGGTAACCTCAAATCAGAAAATATATAATGAATACACAAAAAAATAAAAAGCAAAAAATTAAATCATACTACCAGAGAAAATAACCTTCACTGAAAGGAAGACAGGAAGGAAGGAAAGAAGGAAGATAAGACAGGAAAACAAATAATAAAATGGCAGGAGTAAGTTCTTATTAATAATAGTATTGAATGTGAATGCACTAAACTCTCTAATCAAAAGACATAAAGTGACTGAATGGATTAAAAAATAAGAACCAAAAATCTGTTGCCTATAAGAAACACACATTGTCTATAAAAATACACATAGACTGAATATAAAGGGATGGAAATAGATATTCCACGCCAATGAAAACCAAAAAACAATAGGGCTAGCTATACTTACATGACACAAAATAGATTTCTAGACAAAAATAAAAAGAGACAAAGAAGGTCACTGTATAAGGTTAAAGACGTCAATTCAGCCAGAGGAGATAACAATTTTAAATATATATGCACCCAACACTGGAGAACCCAGATATATAAAGCAAATATTAGTAGAGCTACAGAGAGAGATAGACCCCAATACAATCATAGCTGGAGACTTCAACACCCAACTTCCAGCACTAGACAGATCTCCCAGACAGAAAATCAACAATGAATCATCAGGCTTAATCTGCACCATAGAATAAATGAACCTAATACATATGCACAGATTTCATTCAATGGTTACAGAATACACATTCTTCTCCTCAGCACGTGTATTATTGTCAAGGAAAGACCCTACGTTAGATTACAAAACAAGTGTTAAAACATTCAAAAAATTGAAATAACGTCAAGCATCTTCTCTGACCACAATGGAATGAAACTAGGAATCAATAACAGGAGGAATTTTCAAAACTATGCAAACATGTGGAAATTAAACCATATGCTCAGGAATGACCTGTGGGTCAGTGAAGAAATTAAGAAGGAAATTGAAAAATTTCTGGAAACAATTGATAATGGAAACACAATACACCAAAACCTATGGGATGCAGTGAAAGCAGTACTAAGAGGGAACTTTACAGCTATAGCTGCCTACATCAAAAAAGATGAAAAACTTCAAAGAAACAACCTAAGAATACACCCTAAAGAACAAGAAAATTAAGAGCAAACCAAGCTGAAAATTAGTAGAAAAGACATAATAAAGATGATTGCATAAATAGATACAATTGAAATGAATAAAACAATACAAAAAATCAATGAAACAAAAAGTTGGTTTTTGAAAAGATAAACAAAATTGACAAAAAAGAGAGAAAATACAAATAGATAAAATCAGAGATGAAAATGATACAGTTGATACCACAGAAACTGAAAGGATCATTAGTGGCTACTATGAGCAACTATATGGCAATAAATTGGAAAATCTAGAAGAAATCGATAAATTCCTAGACACATACAACCTACCAAGATTGAACCATGAAGTCCAAAACCTGAAAAGAACAATAGCACGTAAGAAGATCAGAGTCATAATACAAAGTCTCCCAAAAATAAAAGCCCAGGACTCGATGGCTTCACTGCTGAATTCTAGCAAATATTAGTTCTTAAAGAAGAACTAATACCAATCCTACTCAAACTATTCTGAAAAATAGAGGAGGAAATAGTTCCAAACTAAATTCTACAAGGCCAGTATTATCCTGATATCAAAACCAACAAAAAGATACATCAGAAACTCTAGGCCAATATCACTGATGAATATTGATGAGAAAATCCTCCATAAAACACTAGCGAACTTAACAAAACACTGAAAAGATCATCCATCATGGCCAAGTGGGATTTATCCCAAGGATACAAGGATGATTCAACATGTGAAAATAAATTAATGTGATACATCATGTCAACAGAATGAAGGACAAAAGCCATATGATCATTTCGATTGATGTAGAAAAGGCATTTGACAAAGTCCAACATCTCTTCATGATGAAAACCCTCAAAAAACTGGGTGTAGAAGGAACATACCTCAACATAATAAAAGCCATATATGATAGATCTATAGCTAGTATCATATTGATTGGGGAAAAACTGAAAGCCTTTCCTCTAAGATTGGGAATAGGACAAGGATGTCTACTTTCACCACTGTTGTTCAATATAGTACTGGAAGTCCTAGCTAGAGCAATTAGACAAGAGAAAGAAATAAAAAGCATCCAAATTTGAAAGGGGAAAGTCAAATTATCCTTATTTGCAGGTGATATGATCTTATATTTGGAAAAACCTAAGGATTCCACCAAAAAAGGACTATTACAACTGATAAACCAATTCAGTAAAGTTTCAGGATACAAAATCAACATAAAAAATTAGTAGCATTTTTATATGCCAAATTGAACACTCTGAAAAAGAAATTTAAAAAGTAATCTCATATATAATAGCTACAAATAAAATTAAGCACCTAGGAATTAACCAAAAAAGTGAAAGATCTGTACAATGAAAACTATAAACTGCTGATGCAAGAAATTAAAGAAGATGCAATAAAATGGATAGATATTCCATGTTCATGGTTTAGAGGAATCAATATTGTTAAATGTCCATACTACCCAAAGCAATTCACAGATTTAATGTAATCCCTATGAAAATATCAATGACATTCTTCACAGAAATAGAAAAGACTATCCTAAAATTTATATGGAACCACAGAAGACCCAGAATGGCCAAAGCTATCCTAAGCAAAAAGAACAAAACTGTAGGAATCACATTACCTAACTTCAAATTATACCCCAGAGCTGTTGTAACCAAAACAGCATGTTACTAGCATAAAAATAGAGACATAGGCCAGTGAAACAGAATAGAGAACCCAGAAACAAATCCATACATCTATAGTAAACTCATTTTCAACACAGGTTTCAAGAACACACCTTAGGAAAAGGACAGTCTTTTCAATAAATCGTGCTGGGAAAACTTAACATCTGCATGCAGAAGAATGAAACGAGATCTCTATCTCTTGCCACATACAAAAATCCAATCAAAATGGATTAAAGACTTAAGACCTCAAACTATAAAACTGCTGAAAGAAAACACTGGGGAAACTTTCCAGGACATTTGTCTGGGCAAAGACTTCTTGAATAATACCTCACAGGCACAAGCAACCAAAGCGAAAATGGACAAATGGGATCACATCAAGTTAAAAAGCTTCTGCACAGCAAACGAAACAATCAACAAAGTGAAAAGACAACCCACAGAATGGGAGAAAATATTTGCAAGCTACCCATCTGACAAGGGATTAATAACCAGAATATATAAGGAATTCAAACAACTCTATAGGAAAAAGTCTAATCATCCGATTTAAAATGGGAAAAAGATCTGAATAGACATTTCTCAAAAGAAGACATACAAATGGCAAATAGGCATATGAAAAGATGCTCAACACCATTGATCATCAGGGAAATGCAAATCAAAACTACAATGAGATATCTCACCCCAGTTAAAATGATTTTTATCCACAAAGTCCGGAAATAATGAATGCTGGTGAGGATGTAGAGAAATGGGAACACTTCTACACTGTTGGTGGGAATGTAAATTAGTACAGCCACTATGGAGAATAGTTTGGAGGTTCCTCAAGAAACTAAAAATAAAGCTACCATAAAATCCAGCAATCCCACTCCTAGGTATATACCCAAAAGAAAAGAAATCTGTATACTGAAGAGATATCTGAACGCTCATGGTTTTGCAGCACTATTCGCAATAGCCAAGATTTGGAAGCAAAGTTAAGTGTCCATCAACAGATGAATGGATAAAGAAAATGCAGTACATGTACACAATGCAGTACTATTCAGCCATAAAAAATAATGAGATCTTGTATTTGCAACAACGTGGACAGAACCAGAGGTCATTATGTTAAGTAAAATAAGTAAGGCATAGAGAGACAAACTTCACATGTTCTCACTTATTTGTGGAAGCTAAAAATTAAAACAATTGAACTCATGAAATGGAGAGTAGAAAGATGCTCACCAGAGACTGGGAAGGGTGGAGTTGGGGGCAGTGAGAATGCTTAAGGGGTACAAAAAGATAGTTAGAAAGAATGAATAAGACCTAGTATTTGATAGCACAACAGGTGGCTATAATAAAAAATAATTTAACTGTACATTTTTAAATAACTGAAAGTGTATAATTGGATTTTTTGTAACACAAAGGATAAATGCTTGAGGTGATAAATACCCCCATTTACCCTGATGTGGTAACACACTGCATGCCTGTATCAAATATCTCATGTAACCGAGAAATATATACACCTACTGTGTACCCACAAAACTTAAAAATTAAAATTAGAAAAAAAAGAAAAGAAACAAATATTAGCCTTAAAAGAGGTTTACTAAATACTATGTACCTATGTTACAAATTAATGTGTGCCATCCTAATTTTAGTTTACTTTTTTGTCAAATATTTTAGATTCTTGGGAAGATAATCTCAATTTCTTTTTGTGACAGTTATAAAATCATCAATTAAAATTCAGTTGAATTTAAAACCAAAAAAAAAATCACATAACAAATGAGTGATGACCTGAAATTTATTTTATATATATAATATAATATAATATAATATATATGATATATATAAATATATACATAATATAATATAATATATATAATATATATAAATATATATAATATAATACATATAATATATAAATATATAATATAATATATATAATATATATAAATATATATATAGTATATATATAAATATATATATACTATATATATAAATATATATATATATATAATACTTTCAGTTCTAGGGTACATGTGCACAACGTGCAGGTTTGTTACATATGTATACATGTGCCATGTTGGTGTGCTGCACCCATTAACTCGTCATTTACATTAGGCATATCTCCTAATGCTATCCCTCCCCCCTCCCCCCACCCCACGACAAGCCCCAGTGTGTGATATTCCCCTTCCTGTGTCCAAGCGTTCTCATTGTTCAATTCCCACCTATGAGTGAGAACATGCGGTGTTTGGTTTTTTGTCCTTGCGATGGAATACTATGCAGCCATAAAAAATGGTGAGTTCATGTCCTTTGTAGGGACATGGATGAAGCTGGAAACCATCATTCTCAGCAAACTAACGCAAGGACAAAAAACCTGGAATTTAAATCCAGGTAATGTGATTATAAGGGTCAAGTGTTTAAGCATTCTGTTGTCTGGTATCACATTCTAACAAGATTAACAGTGAATATAAGTACATAGTTATCATAAATCCGTTCAGATTGTCACAATACTTTATTACCTGCTATTTGTTAAGCCACTCAAGAGATAGAGCACTTCCCCTTTGCTCTGTGTTTCAGCTGCTTGAGCTCCGTTCTGTTTTGTAAATTGTTAGCATCTAAATACAAACCATAGAGAGAAATAATTCCTTATTTCCAGCACCTCACCTGTCTCCCATGTTCTATTTAGAAATCACCTTACCAGTTGATTACTCCATACTAGTGTCTAAGCCTCCTCCAGAAAAGCTTTCTACCTGAAATGCTGCTCAAAAAGGTAGTTGCCTACCAAGTTGAAAAACTGTTTGGCAGTATCTACTGAAGTTGAACGTACATCTATCCTATAATCCAACCATTCCATTTCTGTTAGGTATATACCTGACAGAAGTGAATACCTATATTCACCAAAATAAATGTATTACAATATTCATAGCAGCATCACTTGTGGTAGTGGCTACAAAATGGGGGCAGGGGGACAAAACAAAGGACCATCAAAAGTATATAAGTAAATTGTGTTGTAGTCATACAAAAATAATACACAGCAATGAAAATGAACAAATTACAGCTATGTGCAAAAACACATAGCAAATACATGCAAAAGTCGCATAAACATAATATTGAACCAAAGAAGTAAAACCCAAAAGAGCGTATAGAGGACAATTCCATTTATATAAAGTTCACAAACAAGCAAAAGTAATCTATGATACTTAAGGTCAGATTAATGGTTTTCCTTGTTTGTGTTGGGAGGGCAGTATAAGTGACTGGAAGGGGACATGAGCAAGGCCTCTAGGTTCTGGTAATGTTCTACTTATATGGATGTTGGTTACCTTAGTGTTCAATTTGTGAAAATTCATCAAGTTGCATAGTTATTTACTTTTGCAGTTTTCTATATTATAATTCAATTTAAAAATTCAAAAGAAATGAACCCCTCACTCTGTTTCCCCACCAAACTCCAAAACTTTTTGCAAGGCTGCTGAGAGTGTTGCTTTCTTTCATTGACCCTTCTCTTCAGCATCCACTCAAAGATTGCTTTGTGGGAAACAGATAAAACCAGTTTTTCCAACAGTAAGGACTTATCAAAATTCCTTCTACCACAATCAAATGCATACATCCCTTCCTTCCTATTGCTCCATATGAGAATAGAAAGTAAAGATTGAAAATAAAAATGTGAGACTTGCACCCAACAATGTCTTTAGGTAGAAATGAGTACCTCTGACAAGGTAATCCGAAGGGGGCAGGCTTGGAGAATGAGTCACCCAGCAAGACCTGCATTCAACATAAAGCAAAGCAGCAAACAACACAGGTGTTAAAAGGCTTTCATTTTGTTTTGTTTTATAATTCAGTTTGCTAAGAAAAAGTAATTGACCTTGGCCTGCCTCCACTGGTAGGTAAGGTTCCGTATATTGAACTACAGCCTCCAAAACCCAGCAGCCACCACAGTCATTAGAACTACCACTAAGTGTATATACACTAAAACCAGAGACCAGCTGGTTAAAACAGCTTCAAATGTGTTGCTCTTTCCGTACATCTTCAAATTCATCAATTAAGCAATTTAAATCCTAAGACAAGAGAGTAGCCAGCTGAAGTTTTTCTTTTTGGATGCTTTAGGCAATTATGATTTTTTTTTTTTTTTTTTTTTTTTTTTTTACTCACACAGCAAAGCAGTTCCCTGTAGGATTGTAACCCACCCATCATTGTTTATCATTCGGTTTTGCTGTTTGCTCAGAATTCCTAAGTACAGCAAAAACCAGAAAAATCTATAAAATTTCTTTGCTTATGTTTATCAGTAGAAATGCATTTGTTGTTGCTTCCTTTAGACATATATGGATTTTGTGTCCAAATTGAGCCATCTAACCCCAAGCAGAGAATAGTCGCTGAATATTAACAGAGGAAGGACTTAGTGCCTGGGCTAACCAAAGTATAACCTTTGGATAGCAAAGTTGACATTGCCTGGGAGATTGTTGGAAATGCAGTCTCTTGGGTCCTGCCCACACCTACCAAATTAGACTGTTCAGGTCTCCAGATTATATATATATTCATGTTTGAGAAGCACTGCTGTAGAGTATACAGAAAATACTTGGCTGCTCTAAGCAGTACACAAAGAATGTTTCCCATTTTGTATTAAACATAGCACATTCTTTCTTGTAGCATAAAAATAGGTACCAGTTTGGAAGCTGTGTTCCAACCCTCTCTAACCACAGAGAAGAGAAGCTCCTGCCCCTAACCAGATTATGAGTAGATGCAGCCTAATAAAATTCCCTAAGTGGCCAGAAGCTTTATCTCTTTATTTGTGTTCTGTCAAAAGGACAAAATGAGGCCAGGCACAGTGGTTCACGCCTGTAATCCCAGCACTTTGGGATGCTGAGGCAGGCAGATCACTTGAGGTCAGGAGGTTGAGACCAGCTTGGCCAACATGGCAAAACTGCATCTCTACTAAAAATACAAAAATTAGGAGGGCGTGGTGGTGTGGGCCTGTAGTCCCAGCTACTCAGGGGGCTGAGGCAGGAGAATCGCTTGAACCTGGGAGGCGGAGGCTGCAGTGAGCCAAGATCTCGCCACTACACTTCAGCCTGGGTGACAGAGTGAGACTCCATCTCAAAAAAAAAAAAAAAAAAAAAGAAAAAGAAAGGCAAAATGAATTGCTTTCAAGGAAGCTAGAAGTGTGAGGAATCATGAGTAAAGACTATCAATATTGCCCACTTATAAACCCTGGGCAGAAGAGGGATAGAAGCACACATACTGCTGACTACATGTCTGTTTTTAGAAGACCTCTGCCTTGCGGGCGGGGGGACCACTGTAACGCTGAAGAAAATTACACTATTTCTATCTGTGTCAAAAATTGCTTATCATTTCCAGTATCCATTCTCCCCTTCTTCCTTTTAATAATCTCCCACAACATATAGAGATTTATCAGGCAACATAGCTGTCTAGCTAGAGACTACATTTCCCATCTTGCCTTGCAGGTAAGTGTGGCCATGATACTAAATTGTCCCAATAGAATGTGAACAAGAGGATGTATATACCTCCATATCCCCTCTTTAAAAGGAAATTGTCTGTCCTACCTGCCTCCCTTGTTCCTTTGCTTTGTGCAGAAATGCAGATGTGGTGCTGGGAGAATAGGTTTGACCATCTCTATAAGGGCAACATCTAGAGCAGAAAGCTGAAACAATGTGTCTACAAAGCAAAATGCCAACAAGAAACAAGCTAATTTTCCCTGTAGAGTCTTAGAATGGCTGAGAAATCAGAGGCACAAATACCTCAGAAGGTAGGGTGAAATATAGGAAAACTGATTGAAAATGTGCATGAGGGAAAAGTAGACTCCTCAGATCCTCTCTATAACCCTGCCCAGCTAGCCATCTCCACTCCACAACCCAACAGAAGCCAGGAGGTTTTGTCTCTGGAACAGCCAAGCCTGAGAGGCTCCAGAGCCTGGTACAATAAAGGGTATAGAAGAGAAGCAGGACTGAAATATTAAAAGTTCCCTTTCTTGTCTTCTAGAACACTCTCAGACAGGTTTCTAAACTTCCAGGCAGGAAATTAGAAAATTCTTTTCTGAAGAAACAATCCCAACAGAAAAGATTATAGATGCTTATATTTGAGGGTTCCCCAACAAAATGGCTGGACCCTCTCTAATCACACAGAGCTTTTCATTAGCTTTTCAGCATTTTATTCTTAAATATGAAAAAACATCTTAAGATAATAGATGTTTTGAATAGCTTCTAACATAACTGTCAGAGACCAAAACAAACATACCAAAAAGAAATGGAGAAAAAGAAATTTTAAAATAAGAGCAATAATAATGCAAAAATAATAGGAGGATAAAAGAAAACCTTGCATCTATTAATCAATAATATAATGTTACAAAAGAAATGACAAAATGCTTCAAAGCTTTTGGAAGTTAAAATTATGATAGCCAGAATAGAAAATATTTAATAGATGGATTGAAAGATAAACATGAGAAAATCTCTCATAAAGGAAAACAGAAAGACCTAGAAAGTAGGAAGGGGAAGATGAGAAAGTGAGATGATCAGCTTGGAACATCCAACATCTGACTCTTAAGAATTTCAAAATAAAAATAGGTGAAAAGGAGGTAAAGAAATTATAAAGGAGGTAATGCTAGAACATTTCCTTCAAATAATAAAAAAATAAGTTTCCAGAGTACAAGAGTTCACCAAATGCCAAGTACAGTATAGAACACAAAAGCTAAATATCCACAAGGCACATCATTTTAAAAGCTAGACTAACAGCGATAAACAGAAGAACCCTAGAAAATCCCAGAAAAATAAAGGTTGCACACAAAGAATCAGGAATCAGTCTACAATCTAACTTCTCTGCAGCAACACTGGAAGCTGGAGCAATGCCCACAACATTTTGATGGAAGATTATTTCCATTCTGGAATTTCAGTTTCAACCAAACTAACATTCAAGAGTCAGAAGGATAAGTGTTTTTTCAGTCATGAAAAAGTTCTAAAATGTGTTTGCAGAAAGCTACTCCAGGACTTGCTTAACAAACACAAGGGAAAGTGGAGGGCCTGGGATCCAGGAAAGAGGGTATTCAACAGAGAAGACAGAAAGCAGAACTTCCTTATGAACAGAGGAAACTGTGATAGGAAAACAGCCGCATAGATGTTCTACAGAACAACTAGTGCAGATTGAATCAGGATAAAAGGAGACTCTGGGACAGATGACTTGTGAGGGAGTGGAGGAGAGGTGGAACTGATAGATTGCTTGATATCTTTGGTAGAGAAGCACCTATAGCTCTGTGGGAGAGGACTTTTTAAAACTTTTATTTTAGTTGCAGGGGTACATGCGCAAGTTTGTTCTATAGATAAATTGCATGACATGCCATGTCACAGGGGTTTGGTATACAGATTATTTCATCACCTGGGTAATAAGTATAGTATCTGATAGGTAGTTTTTTGTTTCTCACCCTCTATCCTCAAATTGGCCCCAGTGTCTGTTGTTCCCTTCTTTGTGTTCATGTGTACTCGGTGTTTAGCTCCCACTTATAAGTGAAAAGATGTGGTGCTTGGTTTCTGTTCCTGCATTAGTTCACTTAGGATAATGGCCTTCAGCTCCATCCATGTTGCTGCAAAGGACATGATCTCAGAGTTTGGAAAGAATTAGTGATTGGTTCATGTAAAACTAAGTAAACAGAAAGAAAGTGTAACCATTACCTAGAGAAAAAAATTATAATGAAGGAAATGGAATTATTGCATACTATTTGTCTCAGCTGTGAACAATTTTACATAGTCATTGCTATGGTGGGATATGGGTTGTTTTGCCCTGCCAAGTCTCATGTTGAGATTTGATCCCTAATGGAGGTGGGGCCTAGTGGGAGGTGTTTGAATCCTGGAGATGGATCCCTCATGAATGGCTTGGTGCCATTCTCATTCAGGAATGAGTGGGATCCCACTTAGTTCCCTGGAGAATCGATTTTTGAAAAAGGCCTGGCACTTCCTCATCTCTCACCCCATGATCTCTGCACATGCTAGTTCCCATTTGCTTTCAGCCATGAGTGGAATCAGCCAGAGCCCCTCGCCAGATGCAAATGCTGGCACCATGCCATGCTTCTTGCACAGGCTGCAGAACCATAATTGAAATAAGCCTCTTTTAAAATAAATTGCATGTCTCAGATATTCCTTTTTAGCAACACAAATGGACTAAAGTAGTCATAATGTTTAATACAGAATGTTAATTTAATGAAAAGTTATGATGTGACTATATTGGGACAATAAGGAGAGGGACTGCACTGGTGTGTGGATGTGTGTAAGAGTACTAAATTCTGATCCATTGTAGGAAGTCAATCTACAATGTATAAAATCAATAAAGAAATCATACTATAAACATTTTGTATATAATTATGTAGGCAAATAGAAAAAATAACTAAAAGACTTGACAAAGTAGTTTTCTCTAAGGAGTTGTTCTTGAGGATAGAGAGTGGTAGAGTAGTAGCTATTTTTTTCTTACAAGGTTTGTAATGCTAATTGTGCTTTTAAAATTAAAGTAATCTATTAGTTTGGTAAAAGTTAAAATAAAAATACAGGCAAGTCAACAAATTACCCCTCTCAGAAGTATTCTACAATTTGGACTCTCTCTCTCTCTCTCTCTCTCTCTCTCTCTCTCTCTCTTTCTCTCTCTAGCTTCCGCTTCCTTTCTCTAATTGTAGCTTGAAAGGAATTATTTTTTGTTAAGAAATTTTAGGCATTGAGAAGCAAGTGAGCACTATATATTTGTAGTGAGCTGAGTAGTGTACTATTTGTATGTGCATCGGGTAACATTGCAACTGTAATTTCTAAACAGGGTCAGCATTCTTGAGCAAACAGATATGACAGCATGCTTAAAGGATGAAAATCAAACCCAATGGCATTTGAACAGAAGTCACAGTCCTAAAAGTAGAATGAAGATTAGAAGGCCTGGATAAAGGAGTTTCATATATGAACTTGAGCCTCCGTGTCCTAATCATTCAGGAATCTTACTTTCCTAGCCAAGAATCATCATCAATTTCATCTGACACAAGAGGCAGTCTTCCTCCAGGCAGTGCCAGATAAATGAGGCAGAATGGCACAGATCCAGAGCAGAGCCATGTGAGGCCAACAGTCGGATGGGCATAAAGGAAGCCAGGCCGAAAAGAGCCCTTCAGTTTTGATCACTCATTATCCTGACTTAGTGGTTCCTCAGCTGCCTTTGTTACAGCCGGGAGCAGTGACCAGTGGAGCATTCAGTCAACAAATGTTATCATCTCTGCAATAATAATCATGTTATCATCCGTTATATGGTGTTTGTTCTGAGAGAAGGTTCAGAAGGCTTAGGAGTTCGATTTGGGAAAAACCAAGAGGAGAAAAGAGATGTAAGCAGGCCAAGTATGCCAGTAGGAGGTGGAAAACAAGAGACCACATGGAGTCCAAGCCTGGGATAAAGAGATAAAAGAGAAGTGGCAGTGAGGAAAGTGGCACAGTGTATATGAGAAGAGCTAGAAATAAAGAAACTGGTGTCACAGTAGTGTTGAGAATAGGAGAGGGGTCTTTCTTCCACAGTCACATTATATCTACCTTGCCATGTGTTCTTCAAAAGGATAGCCCATTGAAAAGATTTTTGGTTATATAACAGATGCTGTCAAAGTTCCTCCCGCATCCTCTCTGATCACCTTACCATATCAGTGCATACCAGCCTGACTTCCAATGGCTGGTATGTACATCTTTGCCAGAGGGCTGATCTGGGGCTGCCAGAAACAGCTTTGTGCCCACCTCCACACACACTCACACAACAGTGTCTGAGAACGAACATTCCTTCAGGGCAGCCTTAAACTGATGGCTGATGGGTATAGAGGTATAAATACCTCAGATACCCAGATTTTGGGGTGGGTTATGCTGAGATGTGTGTTTTACTCCATTTCCAAAGCTTCCCAATGGGAGTAAATTTTAGTTGACAACCATGGTAACTGGTTTTTAAAAGGCATCTCTTATTGGCTATCTTTCCTTCCCTATATTACCTCCCCACCATCAGCCAGTGTTCCTGTACCTCCTTAATAGACTACGTACATTCAGTTCTTGTCTTACAGTCTGCCTCTGTTGGAACCCAACTAAGACAATCTTCTACTCACTTTCACACATGACCAGTATCAAAAATAGAGTTGTGGTGTATTATGTCTGCTAACTACAATAGGGGCAAGAACATCCCTGATAACAGAGAAAGGATAACTGGTAACTACAGCTCCTTCTCAAGCTGCACCCCTTTCTGTGAAAAACGTCCTCTTTCTATCTAATGGGATCAATCGGCACAGGGTAAACAATTGAGGAAATTTAATTCAAACAAGAGGATCTCTAGACATGATGATAAACTCGAGGCAGAGTCTCAGGCTGTAAGGGGTAATAAAAATTCATTTTTTATATAAGATTATATTCCACCCACACAGTTTGGAGCAACATGCTACATGCCAACCACTGTATGGTATTTATCATATTATACGTAGGAGCAATCACAGAAATAACACTAGCACTACTCTACAGAAGATAAATATCATCATTTATATTATAGGTCTAAGATCTATAATATATTTATTTGTAATAAATAACTAATATCATAGGCCTATGGCATATAATCACTGTTAAGTAGGTAGTTGTGTTAATACCTAGAGTGCCAGTGGAGGGAGCCACTTGCAGGTCTTTGAGGGCCTGAAAGACCTTTATGGCAGGACAATGCTTGGAAAGTAGAGCCTAGGGAACAGTTTCCACCCCTGCTATAAAGGTATCAGAGCCCTTAGAACAACCCCTTAAGCCCTCAGAGTGAGGGTTTTTCAGAAGAACAATCTCATTCTGATGAGAGAGAGTTTAGGTGTATCCTTGGCCCAAGAACAGTGTTCATAGCTGAATGGAAAGAGAGATTGGGTTTCTCATAGAAGAATAAACCTCAGAACACCTTCTAGATTGGATCCCTCATTGGAGACCAGACCATGAAGACCTCATTGGAGACCTTTTCCCATGAAAAGGACATTATAAGTAAGAGTAAATGAGACAAGACAGTTAATTCTCTAGCATGATTCTAAAACCCTCAGAGAACAATGAAGATCTATCTTAAGACGTAATAAAAATACAGCCACAGCACTTGCTCTCACTTGCGCTCAATGACTGGGTAAATGCAGGAGTGGCTTTAGACACATCAAACAGCAGGGGATTTAGTCTCCCAAATACTTTAATAAACATTTATTTAGCATACATATGTAACAGCGCAGTACTATGCTATGTACCAAAGATAGAGTGTTCAGTGATGAAAAGTACCCTCACATGGTACTTACAATGTGCCAGGCACTGTTCTTGTTTATAAGATTCACACGCATGCCTATGAGATTGGTATCACTGTCATCCCCTTTTTGAACATGGGGCACAGAGGTTAAGTGACTTGCCCAAGGCCATACAACTGGCCAGTGGTAGGCATAGGATTTGAACCGAGCAATCCGCTGCCTCCCAGTCATAGCCCCTATTGCCCTATTGTCTTGGAGTTTATATTCTTGTGAGCTAAGAAGACCTTATATAAGACATTAATCATATTTGCAATGATTTAATTTCAATCATAATCTAGACCTTGTAGGAGGTGTTATATACAGAGTGCCCTGAGCATGTTCACCAGCTTATTCATTCCACAAACAGATACTGATTGCATAGTCTGTGCCAGGTTCTGTGGGAGATACTGGCAATTTAATGAGAGTAAAACAGATACCTCCTTTGCTGTCTTGTGGCAGGGGGAAGGGGTGTCAGACATTACTTGAATAATGACACACATTTACATGTGATTACAAAGGCGGCAAATGCTTTGAAGGAAAGTACTGAGAGTTATAAGAGCATATAATGGGAGGACTTGACATTTAAAATGAGATCAAATGAGATCTCAAGGATGAGTAACATTTATCTTGATGGAGAAGAAAACACATTTCAGGAAGGCATGTGCCAAGGCTCTGAGGTAAGAAAAAAAATCTAAGACACTGAGAGGAGCCAGTGGGGCTGGACCCAGTGAAGGAGGGAGAGAGTGGCATGCAAAGAGCTAGGGGTGGCTGGCAGGGATCACATGACTTACCGGGCAACCAGGACACTTTTGAAAATGAAAGCAGCATTGATACTTAAGCCAGGACAAAAGGCATAAACAGGTATTAAACTGGGTGAACTGGGACAGATGTGACCTTAATATTGGCCTTGGAAAGATTTCATTTTCTAGCCTAAACACAGTAAGAAGCCATTGAATGATTTTAAACGAGGAGGAAGGGAACGTATAATTGTGTTTTGTTATGATTATTATTTTTAATAACACTCTAGCTGTAATGGGGAGAATAGATAAGAAGGCAGCAATCATGAGTGCAGGGAGACAAATAAGGACATTATAACAACAGTCCAGGTGAGAAATGATGGTGGTTTGGATGAGGGTGAAAATAATAGAAATGGAAAGAAGCAAATGGAGCCTAGTGGTGATGAGTAGTAAAATCAACACAATTTGGAGTTTGATTGGATTTTAGAGTAGAGGATGACACAGGAGCAACCTGGAAACCACTTAACAAGGGTAGAAGTGAGAGAGAAATGGCCAAAAAATTAAAAATGAAAGAAATGACCAAACAAAATAGCTGTCCAGGGCCATTTGACTGCCCACAAGGAATTTAAAAGGTTCTAAGAAAGCTGCTATCCCAGCATCGGTGGTTACTTTTCACAGCTCCAGCGTTCTCCACCATGGCTTGTGAATACAAGCCAATTCTTGCTTTCTAAACCCATGTGCATAATTAATGAATACAGGTATATCTGGAAGGCCTAGAACTCATCAAGTGTCAGGAGCAGGAGCAAGGATGGCAATGTGCTATCAGAGAGGAAATGTATTTAGAAAATGATTTAGAAGAGAAGGAAGGAAGTTGCCTTGTGAAAGAAATAGGTCTTCCAAATAGAAGAAATGGCATAGGTAAAGAAATCCAGTTGGGTTGTGTGTTAAGGGTATGTTAGTGGGTTTCCAAAATTGTTATCATTAATATTTGAGGAGGTCTTTCTTTTTTAAAATAAAAGTAAAAAAATAAGAAATGACCCAAAAGTAGTTTCCCTTCCAAATTAATCATATTCCCTTTTCTGAACCACTGTCAGATGCCATCTGATGTTGTCCCAACTGAAACAACCAAATTGGAGGAAAAAGCATTCCTTAAAGGAAATTGTACAAAGTGCACTGATTTTCCTTGTGGATAAGTGAAGTCAGATCATAATGTTCTCTTAGCAAGCATACCTCTTTTTTCTTATGGTTGCTAATTTACTTATGTCTGAGGCTGATCAAATAAACTCTGTTTAAAACATCTCTCAAGCAAAGTCAAGTTGCTCTTATGTTATTGATTTTAATCAAAATGGAAATAATCTGTAATTTGTTATCCCTTCCAAAATTATAATCTTCAGTCTCATTTAATGCAGACATAAGAGTGCAAGTATGAGCAGAAATCTTAATTGTTATTGATATTTCTATAATGTCTCTATTTTCCTATTCAGCTGCTTTGGGTAAGGCTGACAGTTCATTATTTTTACCAAGAGTTCAAAAGGGGAAAAACAGAGAGTGATGTTTCATAACAATTTGTCTTTACCAGGTAACAAATGAATAATTCAAAGTTAAAGATATTTAGTCTTGGGATTAAATCTGGAGATAAGTTAGTCCTATCCTCTTATTTTGAAAACTTAGAAAGTAAAGCTCAGAAATCATTTGCCCAAAATTGTATGGCAGAGTCAGAATAAGATCTCTGCTTCCAGATACCCAGGCTCCACTCATTCTACCACATTTAATAATTCTAAAACTTCGTTGTGCTTCAAGCCTCATGGAGTGTCTAACAAGCCTCACAGAGTGAGAAGAAATAATGGTTTTTTAAATTAGTATTTTCCAGAAGGAAAATGTTCATCTTTTAACAAGTGTTCAATTTCTTCTAACATCAATATTCAATCAATGTTCATCTCTTTTAACATGAAACCAACTATAACTTATTTGGCAATTATATTGTACTGAGAAAGACTTTTCTGTAGTAGAACAGAGCTAATTTGATGAAAACTTCACAAATTCAATCTTAGGTTGCATTCTCATTTAACCTTCCCTCAAATTTAAATCAGAGAAACCAACTTTCCCTGAAGCAGTAGAAAATAATAAACAAGGTGTTTATTTGTTATTTTTAAGTACAAAGCTAACCAAAGAAATGGCAAGATTAATTTGTACTTTATTTTGTTTAAAGCTTTTGAAGAGGAATTACATTCATCATGTGTGTTCAAATAAATATCTGTGCCACCTCAGTTCTTCATTGCTGAAAAATAGCATGGAGCTCCATAAAGATTTATAGACGAAAATGTATTAATTCAAAACTTCTTTAATATAGGAAATAAATAATAATTGCATCTGGTTTAAAATGTTGTGATATTTCTATTTTATAAGAAACAACATACAAATTATTGGTGACACAAATTACTTCATCTTGAATCCTGTCAAGATTTCAGTCAGTTCCTCTCACAATCAGTTCCCCTTACTCACTGGTTGTGAAATAAATTAGGAATTTCAGTTATGAATTAACTAATTGGCTAATATTTATAAAACATGATTTCAAATCTTCCAAAAACTATCTTAGCTACAACCTTAAACTACCATCCTGTCTCATTTATTTTTGAACATCAAACATCTCGGAAGAGTACCGTCCCTCCCTTGGCTTCCACTTCATTTCAGTCTATTTTTAACCCCTACCTCCATTGAAACTGCACTCTTAAAGGTCACTAATGAATAGCTAGCCTTCTCCTCCAACTAACCAAATCTTTTGGTCCTTTTTCAATTGTCATTCTTACTGACATTTATCCACAACGCTTAACATTATTGATGTTGATACTGTTCCTTGTCATCTAGGATGCTACACTATCTTGATTTCTTCATTTTATTGAGTCAACAGCATACTAATCATAATAGGGAGCCATGGGGTCTCTCACTTTAAAGAAGGGGAAAACACCGATGGTAGTTAGAAATAAAATAAGACAGTACATGTAGAGGGGAATGTGTTATGGTGAGTGAGTCATTGAAGACAAACAAACTGAAGACAGAAAAACAGAGTTAATTAAGGTCCCAGTGGAAGCTGAAACTGTATATGGTCAACACCAGATTTCCTGTCGCCCCTTTGAGAAATGCCTTCATATTGATTTTTCAAAACACAAAATAATTAGAAGTAAAGCAATCAGTGGTCTGGAAGAAGTTTAGAAAGAGTTTGCGCCTCAGGCAAAGGAAGAGATCATGAGAGATGGGTGAAGTGCATAAGGAACACCTTGGACCTGCACACTTGCAATATCTTCTGGGAATAACACATACCTGCTTTTTCTCACTTTGTACTGATAAAGTCAGAGTTGGTAAAGTATCATCTGGTTGCATATTTATCTGTTCTGCTCATTGGCCGAGCTGCCTATAAGGAATCTTTGTCTGGAAAAAAAGACAGAAGAGTATTTTCCCAGTCTTGGATCAGAGCAACTGGAGGACCTGTCTTCAAACTGCACTCCCTGTCCTGTAAGCCACTCATCTAGGGTAGGTCAGCCAGAGTGGAGAGTGGGAGAAAAACAGGCAGTCACCTCTTTTCTCCTCCTCTCCCACCTTCCTTCCATCCTTCAATAAATATTTATTGAGAGCCTAACAAATGCCAGTTACTCTGTTAGACATTGAGAGTACAAAAATTAATGAGACTAATAACCAGACTCAAGTAATGTATGATCTAGAGAGAAAATGCATATCCTAAAAGCACCTTAAATTCACCATTAAGAACCAAAAAAATCATGTATTGTAATCTTCATCACCCCCAACACCTACCCAGCCCAGCCCCTCTTCTTGAGTTTTCTATATCTATTACAGGCAACCAACACTCACCCAAGCTTGAAACTATAGAGTTATTACTCAGTTCCTAAAACAACCATCCCTATTCTTCCTTTTCCACTGCTATGCCCTTGGTTCAGATCCTCCTCATCAATTTTCCACTGGACTAATGTTCTTTCTAGCCTCCTTTCTTCTAGTTTCTCCCCAGTTCAATTCATCCTACCCGAGGCTACCAAACTAATTTTCCTCAAGCACAATGCTAAGTGTATCAATCTCCACATCAAAACCATCATAGATTCCACCAAATGTATATCCCACTCCTTCCAGACCAATGATGGTTTTACTTCTAATTGTTTTTATTATTTGTATTTAAAAAAAAAATTAATGTGATGGTATTACTGAAAAGTGATGAGCAACAAGGCATCTGGGGTTGAGCATATACAGTTTCAGCTTCCACTGGGACCTTAACTCTGTTTTTCTGTCTTTGGTTTGTTTGTCTTCAATGATTTACTAACCAAAACACATTCCCCACTAAATGTACCGTCTTATTTTATTTCTAACTACCATTGGTGTTTTCCCCTTCTTTAAAATGAGAGGCCCCATGGCTCCCTACTCTGATTAGTGGTGCTGTTAATTCACTAAAATGAAGAAATCAGGACAGTGTAGCATCCTAGGTGACAAGGAACAATATCAGCATCAATAATGTTGAGTGTTGTGGATAAATGTCAGTAAGAATGACAATTGAAAAAGGACCAAAAAAATTAGTTAGTGGCAGAGGAAGGCTAGCCATTCATCATTAGTGACCTTGAGCACCCACCAGTTAACCCCAATGTCTTTGCAGCATATTTTCACCATTCCAAATGGTGCAGTGGTGAAATGTTCACCATTTGAAATGGTGAAAATATGCTTTGTTCTCCATCTATGTCAGTGTAGTGGGCTAAAGAATGGTACCCAAAAATGTCTATGTCTTAACCCCCAGAACCTGTGAATGTTACCTTACCTAGTAAAAGGGACTTTGTAGATGTGATTAAGCTAAGCATCTGGAGATGGGGAGATTAACATGGATTATCCAGGTGAGTCCAGTGTAATCATAAGAGTCCTAGACAGAATGTTAGAGATAAGAGAGGAGGATGTGAAGGCAGCAGCAGAATTTGAAGTGAGGCAGCCATGAATCAAGGAATTCTAGCAGCCTCTAGAAACTGGGAGAGACAAAGAAGAGATTATTCCCTGGAGCCTCCAGGAGTCAGACCTACTAACATCTTTATTTTACTTCTATAAGATTCATCTAAAACTTCTGATCTCCAAAACTATAAGAGAATAAACTTGTGTTGTTTTAAGCCACTAAGTTTGTGGTAATTCATTATAGCAGAAATAGGAGCCTAATCCAATTCATTAGCTATTGTTACATAAACAACAACTACAAAATCTCAGTTGCATGCAAACATAAGCATTTACTTCTGGCTCACATATCTACATGTGTTCTGGGCTCTGCTGATCTTGGATGGGTTCTGCTGGGCTTGGTGCTCTGCTATCAGTTCAGTTTACCTCTGCTTCATGCATCTGTCATTTTTCTGGAAATAGAAAGTTGCCCATAAAATATCCTCCTCATGGTGAAAGGAAAGAGTGACAAAGCACAAGCCTAACTAAGCAAGTACATTTCAAGCATTTGCTCACATCACATCTGCTGACATCCTTTTGGTCAAAGCAACTATCACCTGGCCAAACCCAAAATCAATGGGGCAGTGAAATATCTTCTGCCTCTAGTGGCAGAAACGTTAAACTCTCAAGGCAAGGGTTCGAGATTCAGGGAGTTTATACGAATAATAATGCAATATATCCAGTGGTGTGCTTTTAAACCAGATTTCAAAAAACAAGAGCAAAACCCTGATTTGTGGCATTTGCTAATTTCCGTGGTGTAAAAATTCCCGCCACCGTGGTTGATTTTGAGCTATCAGCATGACATCACTGAACACAAAGTTGAGAAGAGATGCACACCATGGGCTCTCACACCCAGTACCAGCTAGCTCCAGCATAGCACTGGATCTATACATCAGTCAAACCAGTCATTACATATTCTTCCCTGCATGGTTTACTGCCAGTCTCACCTCTCATGCCATTCTACCCAAGTGAAATTCCTTGACCTTTTATTTTATTTTTATTTTTTAGAGACAGGGTCTAGCTCTGTTGCCTAGGCTGGAATTTAGTGGTGCAATCGCAGCTCACTGCAGCCTTAAACTCCTGGGCTTAAGCAATCCTCCCACCTCAGCCTCCCAAAGTGCTGGGATTATGAACAAGAGGCTCCATGCCTGGCCCCTCCACCTTTTAAATACCACATTTTACACAAAGTTTCCCTGCTTTCTTAACTAGGAATTATTCCTCCCTCCTGGCATTTTTATAACACTTCCTTGCAGGTATTTCTCATTCATTTTTCTGGAATACTTATTGTGCCTATGTTCTTATGGCTCAATGAATTTCAGAGTACTACAGAGTAGGGACAGTTTCTAACACATCTTGAGATCCTGCAGTACTTTGCACAGAGTAGTATTAATAACTAGCTAGTGGATGAATTAATGAATGAGATATAAAATGATTTTTAAAATGTTAACTATGCTTAGTTAAGACAGGTGATGTTCTGGCAGAACAAAGTCATCCAAAAGAAATAGGCCAACTAGGAATTACCAAGGAACCGGTAACCTAATCCCAGCAAAATGAGGAGTTTTGTCTTCCTAACCTGTTCAGAGCTAAGTATTTGAAAGCCCCCACAAAAGCTAATTCTGACAAAACAAAACATTCCCTTCTCTACCATTAGAAAACAGAAGCTCTAACACCCACAGAGAATTTGGAAGCCCTCAATTACTGAAGCAGTGGAAAATGAGGCTGCTTCATAATCCATAGCAGTTTTGCAGAAATCCTCCATTTTTATTGTCAAGAGAAAGCTACAGCTGTTACTACCTGGCAGTTGTTGAGACCTGGGAATTCAAATTGGTAGAACCAGGCTGGTATCATGTGGAAAATACCTTTTTCAATTCTATCATCAAACTCATCCCTGTGAATGTGGCTTTCTTCCAACCTCAGTGCAAAGCACAAAGATGGAGTCTGTTTGGAATTGAGATCATTGCTGAGGCAACCTTACAGTTGTGATTCAAAGACATCCATAGGTAGGGTAAGAAAGTGCACAGGCATTATGGCTGTCCTTTGTTGTGGCATTTACAAAATTAAAAATAAGACTTTCATTTATATTGTTTTTGGTCTTTTACAAAGCCATTGTATACTAGGAGAAAGGGGTTTTACAAAAATGAAATGCAGATAGAGTCCTCTCTTTCTCAAACAAAATATATTTGGTGCAGATAGCGAAGCCTTAGTGCAGGCAATATACACAAGGTCTTTCTTCCCTTCCATCATTAAGAATCAGGGATGACTTTTTTGTGTAGGTAGAAAACTTACAGATCTAGACAAATCAATCCTGTGGAAAAATATATCCCTCTCTTGGTCTGTCATATCGATAATCTCCCTTCCTGCATAGCTTGAAATGTCCATGATTATAGTAGCTTCTCTGGATCAAACAATAAGACTGGACATTGCCTCAAATGGCTCCAATTAAAACGTGTTCATTCATTCATTAATTCATTCAGTTAACAACTATTTATTGTTCATCTCCTGTGATCCTGACACATCGTTTGACAGACACTGAGGATACCAAGATTAATTTTTAAAAATCCCTATTCATCAGGGGTTAAAAAGTCAAGAAGGGAAAATAGACATAAATAGACAGAGCTTAGGATCCACACATCTGATCAGACACACACATTGAAAATCTGTTATTAAAGGATGAAGCGAGGGTTTAAAGGGAGGCACATTAACAGTGGTGCAGATTCCACTGGATCTTACTCCTACATACTCATTGAAAACCTTGGACTCCTTTAAAATATGTCTTGGAGCTCTCTGGAAGTCGCCATGGATATCTCACACTTACTCAGGAAGATATGCACTCTGACCAAGAACCACTGTGTCCTGGACCAATGTACTGGAGTTTTCGTGGGAGCTGCTCAGTAGTATATCCCTTGTGGATAACATTCTGTTAGGTAAGATCTTGGCTTCTTCAATGTTCTATGGATATTTAAGGATTCCAGTTTTACTTGCCATCCAAATGCTCTGCTCTCTATGGGGCTTATACTCATGCAAGGGACAAATCTGAATGGCAAACACCATGCTATACTCAAAATGCCCATGTCCTTGGAATACCTAAGCTATTACTTATTGAGCTACACGTATTGGGCCTAATTTCTTCTTCCTTCAAGTTATCTGGGTCAAGAGGAACTCCACACCACCTGGGAAGTCATAATCAGGCTTCTCTCTTTCAAGCTTCTGAAACTCAAGCTGGCACCTTGCTACTCTTGTAATATTTAAACAGTTTGACTGGTGCAGCCTAGTGGAAGAAGCAGAGAAATCTTCCTTGAGGAAGTCACACCAAGGCTGAGGGCTAAATAATGAAGCAATAATTTTCTAAGTAAAGATGATAATAATGATAGTGCCAGCAATGAAGTAGAAAAGGCAAAGGACTACATTTCACATTAACCATTGCATCACATAAGCTATTATCATTGTCTTTTAGTGCACATGGTGGGCGTGTGTCTCATTTCTAGAGAGTATTACACATTATTACCTCACCAATGTAATCAGTGTCAATGGATTGATTCAGTTTGAATGTACCAATGTGTCATTGTGATGCTTACTTGAATATTTTATATAGACAGCATGAGTTACAATAATATCTATGTAAATCATAATTTGTATTAAAATTGAAATGTTTATCTTAATGATAATACAATTTAATTACTTTTCTAGTCTCCAAAAAAAGTATAGACAAATTTTTAAGTTTAAAGTGAAGACATACAACTGATACAACATTGAGAGAAGAGGCAGAAACTGATACTATGATAGGAACAGGAAAGAAACAAATTGAAAGAAGGTACGTCACAAATTAATGGGAATTGCAACCTGCTGCCACAGAGTAAAATGAAATAATTGTGTAAAAAATTGAAAAGGTAATGAAGTGGACAACACTAAAACACATCTTCAGCAAATACATAGGGAATTTGATTAGAAATTTCTATCAATAGTCAAAAAAGAATCAATGAAATTGGCCACCTGAAATCAGAAAGAAATGACCAACAACAACTTTCAATTGACTTCTAACTTTGGCCAGATATATAATGGTTTGAATCCTTACAACAAAAGAAAACCATTTTAAAATAGAAAACTAATAAGATATCTAATATTTGAGTTGTGGAAATTGTGTTAGAAAATTAGAAGAATAAGACAAAAAATGATATTTTATAAAGTGCAGAAGCTTGTCAATTATGCTACCGAACAATTGCCCGTGGAGTACTAAGGCCTTTCTAACAATTTTAAGGAGGAATTGATTCAAACTTTGAAAAACTTTATGTACTTTCCAAAGCTTTAGATTAGTCAGGTGATGTAAGTGATACTGCCTAAGTAATGTTTTGGGTACATTTTGTCTCAAAAGACTCACAAATTTACCCCCCCCCCCAAAAAAAATGATGTCGATTAGTAGCTTAAAAATCAAATTTATGATGTAGATTTTTTTAATGTTACATCTGTCAAAGAAGAATTTCAATGAGATATGAAAAGCATTAGTTTCTATCATAACAGATGATGCTCCAGCTATGTTAGTTTCAAAAATATGGTTTTATTAAATTTTTAAACTAAAGACTGATGTTTCCCTTATGGCTTTGTTCCACTGTATGATACATACTTAAAACATTTGTGCTGAGTTTTCTGAAGCAAACCTAGGAAAAGTGTCATGGATACAGTTATTAAAATTGTTCTGTACACATGCAAATGCTATGAATCATTGCCAGTTTATGGAACTGTTGACAGAAATAGAAGACAATGATCTTCTGTTCTTTGCCAATGCTTATTGGCTAAGTTGTGAACGAGCTTTGCAAAGATTTATTGTAAAGTACCTTTAAATCAAATTTAAGATATTCTTAGAGGAAAAGGAATACATGCCAAATATTCAATAATCAAAGACAAAAATGGCAGTGGGATTTACATTTTTTCACTGATATCACATTGCACATGAATAAACTAAACTGTTCACATCAGCTTTATTGAGATATAATTCACATACCATACAATTCACCCATTTAAAGGGTATACTTCAATGGGTTTTTAACATATTCACAGAATCGTATAGCCATCCCCCACAAACTAATTTTAGAACACTTCATTATCCCCCAGAACTATTCCACACCCATTAGCAGTCACTCCCTATTTCTCCCCAGCTTTCCACTCCACCTAGCTCCTGGCAGTCACCAAGTTATGTTCTATCCTTACAGATTTTCCTATCCTGGACATTTCATATAAATGGAATCATACAATATGTGGTCCTTTGTTACAGCTTTCTTTCAATTATTTTAATGCTTTCAAGGTTCATCATGTTGTAGCATATATCAGTATTTCCTTTCTTTTTATTGCTGAATAATATTCTATTATATGGATACACCACATTTTATTTATGGATTCATCAGTTGATGACATTCGTGTTGTTTCCACTTTGGGTCTGTTATAAATAATGCTGCTATGAACATCCATGTACAAGTTTTTGTGTAGACATGTTTTCATTTCTCTTCTAGATTTTAGGAGTGTAATTGCTGGGTCATATATGGTAACTCTATGTTTAACTTTGTGAAGTATTGTAAAACTCTTTTCCAAAGTGGCTACACCATTTTACATTCTTGCCAGCAGTGTATGAGAGTTCCAATTTCTCCACATCCTTGCCAACACTGTTACTATCTGTCTTTTTTAACATAGCCATCCTAGTGGGTGGGAAGTGGTATTTCATGGTAGTTTTGATTTGCATTTCCCTGATGGCTAATGATGTTGAGGAATGAGCTCAACTTGAAGTTCCAAGAAAAAGAAAAGCTTATTTGTAAGCTAGACAGGTATAAGAATTTAGGTTGAAATCGAATCTTTTCATAATAGAAATCACTAATAATGATTTTTCACATTTTTCTGATGTGGAAAGCATATGCAGAGGATTTAAATTGTAATTGGTAAGTTGGTTGCAAAACAGAACGACTGGAAAAATTTGAAGAATTCTTTTCTATTTGATAAGAGCTGTTTTTCAATTTATGCAATACCCCTTTGAACTTATTAATCATACTGAGGTGAAAGAAGACTTAGGGAATATACTTAATTTAGACAGATGTAGTTTTCAAACTGATACCCTTTTTATTCAAAGTCAAAACAATTCTCCTCAAAACAATAAATCATTTTGTCAATGTGGATGCAAATATTAAAGGAAGATGATTTTCAGTACCTGATTTAGTTATTGGAAAACTTTTAAGTATGTTTGAAAGCCCTTGAGTATGTGAACCAACTTTTTCAACTGAAAATTTTATGAAATCTAGATTCAGATCAAGTATTCTCAGTGAAAATTTAGCGCACAAAAAGAGATATGCTGTAAGTTTTTTTAAAAGAAAAAACAGTTTTCAAAGACTCAATACTAAAAAAAGAATGTAAATATTTCAATAATATATGTTTCATTTTTATCACATTTTGAAATGATAATATTTGGATATATTGGGTTAAATAAATTATGCTATTTAAATTAATTTGACCTGCTTTCTTTTCCTCTTTATAATGATTACTTTCAGCGTTTGAGCTATGTAGCTAAGGGAGACACTAGGAGCAAAATTCTGTGCATAAAAAACTACAATGAATAGAAACAGTAGGGCAGGCCTTTTATGAGGAAGATAGGTTATCAAAACTTGTTTGTACCTGCTGATTCACTGTTTGCTTATGCTCAGTGTAGCCTCAAATAGAGAAATCCTCATGAAGACTAGAAGTGAGTAAAATCTTAACCAATAAGAGAGGACTTAAGACCAATCTAAGTTGTGATGCCTTAATGCTTTTGAAAATTCTCAGCCATCTACATATTTCTTTATTCTCCAGGATACCAGATCATGGTTGAGATGTGTAGACAATTACTGAAGCAAATATTTTTAAGTAACTAAGGGATACATAAGACGAGTGTGTGTGATTATTCCCGTGTTGTAGCCAGCAGGATGTAACTGAGAGGACTGAACAGGCATAATGCTTACTACAGACAACAATTTAGAAATTTTAGTACAGGAGCAACTTGCTTGTTAAATGAAAGATTACCAAATAGGTAATGCTATCATTTGAATATTCGTCCTCTCCAAAACTCATGTTGAGATTTAATTCCCAATGTGGCAGCATTTAGAGGTGGGACCTTTAAGAGGTGATTGGGTCATAAGGGCTCTTAATTTGTTAATGGGATTAATGGGTTCTCATGGAATCGGGACTGATATTTTTTTATAAGAGGAAAGATTTAAGCCAGCACACTCACCTACTCACCATGTGATGTCCCATACCGCTTCCAGCCTCTGAAGAGTCCCTACCAGCAAGAAGGCTCTCACCAGACGTGGCCCTTTGACCTTGGATTTCTCAGCCTTCAAAACTGTAAGAAACAAATTCCTCTTCTTTACAATTTACCTGGTTTCGGGGATTCTATTATAAGCAACAGAAAACAGACTAAGACAGGCAGTGAAGAATTGTCCCCTTTTAATAATATATATGCTACTCTTAAGTATGTATTTTAAAGTGTGTGTATAAAAACACACATACATATATAATATACATACGTAATGATATGTAACACAACATTTGTAATATCAACAGTAATTATCTCTGGGAAGCGGAACTACAGGTGATTTTTATGCTTTTCTTTTTGCTTCACTGTTTAATAAATTACCTTCAATGAGCATGTATCCCTTTTGTACTAAGAAAAGTCTTTCTAAAAGTATTCTAAAGACCTCCTACCTATGTAATTGAAAACTGCAGTCTTCTGAACAGAGCATAACCAGAAATGGAAGAAATTACAAAGAATAAACAATCATCACCTTCCCTTAACACACAACATAAAGATGAAAAAGACTTCCAACAAATGAAGTCTCAGTGAAATTCTCCAACAGCCACTTTGGCTCAGCAGAAAAGCACACATTTTCTTTTTGTTGCTCAGCTTGAGATGCCCGATCCCAGGCTCACCGAAGCGAGGTGATACCAGACTCTCCCAGGCTCACCCAGGACATGGTTTTCATGTAGTGCAGTGTAGCAGGTAAGGTTAAGCTTTGTGGGACACCCCCAACTACCTCTGCTTAGGAGAACACATGAAAACTCCATTAACAAATTCTGAAAGTTTCCTACTGGGCGCTGATTTTAAACATTACTCATTCTCTAAAAACTGCAAGCATAATGGATTTCTTTGGACAAGTAAAATGCACAGAAAATGCATTAAGGTCAGAGGTAGGCGTGGGATTCAGTTTAAGTGTCTGAAAATTTTAGATTTCTGTGACCCATTGCCCCCCAAGTAAGCCTTTTGATTATAAAACTCTTCTCTCTTGCCTCCAAACCTGCCCTGCTTAGTTCTGCTCTCAGAGGTATCAAGGGCTAGTACTTGGTACATTTCTGCTTGGTCAGATGCTCCCTGTTATACTTTGCCAACAGGAGCACACTAGGAAGGCTGTGAGGATAGAAGGAGGAGAAGGGACTTGCTCATCCACATTTGCTTACTGTTTCTGTCAGTGTCACCCCAGCAAGGATTCTTCACCCTGGAAGTGACATTTGCTCCCTTGGAGATATCAACACCAGCTGAGCAGCATCTCCTCTTCCAAGTTATTAACTTTTAACCATTTCAACTTCTTTCCCGTGTTCCCCAGTCCTAGGGGTAGAGCAACTTGCAGCAGTTACAACCTCTGAAATACCTGTGTCCCCATTTTGCCTTTCTGGATCTCCAATACCAGACTAACAATTTATTATATCAAGTTCTCTCTGTTAAAACAGCTAATGTGATTTCTGCCTCCCAACTAGACCTGACAGATATAGTCAGACAATTCAATCTCAAAAAGGTGAAGGGTTCATTATTATTATGACATATTAGGCAACTGTCCTCCCTCCTAACAGTTGAACTCGTAGTCGAGGAGAACAGACAAATACAGTTGTCCTTTGCTATCCATGGGGGATGGCTTTCCAGGACCCCTGCAGATAACCAAAATCCTCAGATGCTCAAGTCCATAATCTAAAATGGTGTCTTATTTGCATATAGCCTGCTCACATCCCCCTGTATCCTCTAAATCACCTCTAGATGACTTGTAATATCTAATACATTATAAATGCCATGTAAGTAGTTGTTATACTGTATTGTTTTTCATTCGTATTATTTTTTATTGCTGTATTATTATTTTTCTTTCTTTTTTCAACGTTTATGTTAGATTCAGGGGGCACATGTGCAGCTTTGTAATGTGGGTATATTGCGTGATGCTGAGGTTTGAGATATGAATGATCCTATCACCCCAGTACTGAGAATAGTACCCAAAAGGTAGGTTTTCAGCACTTAACCTCCCTCCCTCCCCATTCTATCAGCCTCCAGTGTCTATTGTTGCCATCTTCATATCCACGAATACCCAATATTTAGCTGCCACATACAAGTGAGAAGATGCAGCATTTTGTTTCCTTTTCTGGCTTTAACTCACTTCAGATAATGGCTTCCAGCTGCATTCATGTTGTTGCAAAGGATATGAGTTTGTTCTTTATTATGGCTGTGTAGTATGCCATGGCATACATGTACCACATTTTCTTTTTTTTTCTTTTTTTTATTTGTTTATTTTATTATTATTATACTTTAAGTTTTAGGGTTCATGTGCACATTGTGCAGGTTAGTTACATACATATACATGTGCCATGCTGGTGTGCTGCACCCACTAACTCGTCATCTAGCATTAGGTATATCTCCCAATGCTATCCCTCCCCCCTCCCCCCACCCCACAACAGGCCCCAGAGTGTGATGTTCCCCTTCCTGTGTTCATGTGATCTCATTGTTCAATTCCCACCTATGAGTGAGAATATGTGGTGTTTGGTTTTTTGTTCTTGCGATAGTTTACTGAGAATGATGGTTTCCAATTTCATCCATGTCCCTACAAAGGACATGAACTCATCATTTTTTATGGCTGCATAGTATTCCATGGTGTATATGTGCCACATTTTCTTAATCCAGTCTATCATTGTTGGACATTTGGGTTGGTTCCAAGTCTTTGCTATTGTGAATAATGCCGCAATAAACATACGTGTGCATGTGTCTTTATAGCAGCATGATTTAGAGTCCTTTGGGCATATACCCAGTAATGGGATGGCTGGGTCAAATGGTATTTCTAGTTCTAGATCCCTGAGGAATCGCCACACTGACTTCCACAATGGTTGAACTAGTTTACAGTCCCACCAACAGTGTAAAAGTGTTCCTATTTCTCCACATCCTCTCCAGCACCTGTTGTTTCCTGACTTTTGAATGATTGCCATTCTAACTGGTGTGAGATGGTATCTCATTGTGGTTTTGATTTGCATTTCTCTGATGGCCAGTGATGGTGAGCATTTTTTCGTGTGTTTTTTGGCTGCATAAATGTCTTCTTTTGAGAAGTGTCTGTTCATGTCCTTCGCCCACTTTTTGATGGGGTTGTTTGTTTTTTTCTTGTAAATTTGTTTGAGTTCATTGTAGATTCTGGATATTAGCCCTTTGTCAGATGAGTAGGTTGCGACAATTTTCTCCCATTTTATAGGTTGCCTGTTCACTCTGATGGTAGTTTCTTTTGCTGTGCAGAAGCTCTTTAGTTTAATTGGATCCCATTTGTCAACTTTGTCTTTTGTTGCCATTGCTTTTGGTGTTTTAGACATGAAGTCCTTGCCCATGCCTATGTCCTGAGTGGTAATGCCTAGGTTTTCTTCTAGGGTTTTTATGGTTTTAGGTCTAACGTTTAAGTCTTTAATCCATCTTGAATTGATTTTTGTATAAGGTGTAAGGAAGGGATCCAGTTTCAGCTTTCTACATATGGCTAGCCAGTTTTCCCAGCACCATTTATTAAATAGGGAATCCTTTCCCCATTGCTTGTTTTTCTCAGGTTTGTCAAAGATCAGATAGTTCTAGATATGCGGCATTATTTCTGAGGGCTCTGTTCTGTTCCATTGATCTATATCTCTGTTTTGGTACCAGTACCATGCTGTTTTGGTTACTGTAGCCTTGTAGTATAGTTTGAAGTCAGGTAGTGTGATGCCTCCAGCTTTGTTCTTTTGGCTTCGGATTGACTTGGCGATGCGGGCTCTTTTTTGGTTCCGTATGAACTTTAAAGTAGTTTTTTCCAATTCTGTGAAGAAAGGCATTGGTAGCTTGATGGGGATGGCATTGAATCTGTAAATTACCTTGGGCAGTATGGCCATTTTCACGATATTGATTCTTCCTACCCATGAGCATGGAATGTTCTTCCATTTGTTTGCATCCTCTTTTATTTCCTTGAGCAGTGGTTTGTAGTTCTCCTTGAAGAGGTCCTTCACATCCCTTGTAAGTTGGATTGCTAGGTATTTTATTCTCTTTGAAGCAATTGTGAATGGGAGTTCACTCATGATTTGGCTCTCTGTTTGTCCGTTGTTGGTTTATAGGAATGCTTGTGATTTTTGTACATTGATTTTGTATCCTGAGACTTTGCTGAAGTTGCTTATCAGCTTAAGGAGATTTTGGGCTGAGACAATGGGGTTTTCTAGATATACAATCATGTCATCTGCAAACAGGGACAATTTGAGTTCCTCTTTTCCTAATTGAATACCCTTTATTTCCTTCTCCTGCCTGATTGCCCTGGCCAGAACTTCCAACACTATGTTGAATAGGAGTGGTGAGAGAGGGCATCCCTGTCTTGTGCCAGTTTTCAAAGGGAATGCTTCTAGTTTTTTGCCCATTCAGTATGATATTGGCTGTGGGTTTGTCATAGATAGCTCTTATTATATTGAAATATGTCCCATCAATACCTAATTTATTGAGAGTTTTTAGCATGAAATGTTGTTGAATTTTGTCAAAGGCCTTTTCTGCATCTATTGAGATAATCATGTGGTTTTTGTCTTTGGCTCTGTTTATATGCTGGATTACATTTATTGATTTGTGTATATTGAACCAGCCTTGCATCCCAGGGATGAAGCCCACTTGATCATGGTGGATAAGCTTTTTGATGTGCTGCTGGATTCAGTTTGCCAGTATTTTATTGAGGATTTTTGCATCAATATTCATCAAGGATATTGGTCTAAAATTCTCTTTTTGTGTTGTGTCTCTGCCTGGCTTTGGTATCAGAATGATGCTGGCCTCATAAAATGAGTTAGGGAGGATTCCCTCTTTTTCTATTGATTGGAATAGTTTCAGAAGGAATGGTACCAGTTCCTCCTTGCACCTCTGCACATTTTCTTTATTATTATTTTTCATTGGTTTGATTTCAAGTATTTTTGACCAGAATTTTGTTGAATCCACAGATGCAGAACCAATGGATACAGAGGGCTAACCATAACTGAAGCCATGTGTATTCACAACACATACATATTACTAAGAATGGCTACACAGACATTTTAAGAATAGGGGCCAGCTTGGCTGGATGCAGTGGCTCACGCCTGTAATCCCAGCACTTTGGGAGCCGAGGTGGGCAGATCACCTGAGGTCAGGAGTTCAAGACCAGCCTGGCCAACATGGTGAAACCCCATCTCTAATAAAAATACAAAAATTAGCTTGGTGTGGTGGCACGTGCGCCTGTAATCCCAGCTACTCAGGATGCTGAGGTAGGAGAATCGCTTGAACCCGGGAGGCGGAGGTTGCAGTGAGCCGAGATCGCGCCACTGCACTCCAGCCTGGGAGACAGAGCAAGAGTCCATCTCAAAAAAAAAAAAATAGGGGCCAGCTATGGCTGGAATAAAGTAAGCCACACAGCCAGTTCATGAAAAACTTCAGGAAGAAAATTAATTTGGGGGATGAGTGACATAATCTCTCAGGTAGGAGGAGGAGGGAGGAGGAAGGAGGAAGGTCATTTCTGGTGTAGGCAATGGCATTTGCATAGGCTCTAATGGTGGAACAAATGAGTACATGGGAACTAGGACAGTAGCTCTTCATCATCAAGCTGCTCCTTAGCACTTAGAACAAAGCCTAGAACAACAGAGGTGATCAATAAATATTTGGTTAATTATTGAACTCAAAGATTGAGCCAGTTTATTTTGTTGGTGTGGAGAAGTTGAGTAATCTTGCCTTTTAAAGTCTTACTTCTGTGTGGCAATTCAGAAATATAGCAGGTTCATAATAATAGGAGCCAGGATTCCAGAAGAACGTATACTTTTTCTCCTGCTATGGGAAATGTGGTAGGGAAATGGGAAGCTTGGAGACAGCCAGGAGCTATCTCCTGAGTGCAAACAACCTCTGGACTTCAGCACTGACTACAGAGTTGGTGAGGAAATGGAAAAAGGGGAAAATGGAAGAATCTTTAGTACCTGGATATCAATATAAGCACAAGGGAAACGAGAAAAAGCCATCACTCTAGTCTTATGAATCTGAGAAGGGAGAAAAACTGCATATGAGTCATCCAAGCTCAGTTTTTAGATTAACATGTTGGTAGAATGTTAAAATAAAAATTGCCTATGGTCAGGAGAGGAAAATAATACTAAAAGCAAAAGCCAGGCATGGTGGTGTGTGCCTGTAATCCCACTACTCAGGAGGCAGAGACAGGAGGATTGCTTGAGCCCAGGAGTTCGAGGTTGCTGTGAGCCATAATTATGCCACTGCACTCCAGCCTGGGCAACAGAGAAAGACCCCATCTCTAATAAAAGAAAGAGAGAGAGAGGAAGGAAGGAAGGAAGGAAGGAAGGGAGGAAGGAAGGAAGGAAGGAAGGAAGGAAGGGAGGGAGGGAGGAAGGGAAAGAGAGAAAGAGAAAGAAAAAGAAAGAAGGAAAGAAAGAAAGAAAGAGAAAGAAAGAAAAGAGGAGAGGAGAGGAGGGAAGGGAAGGAAAGGGAAGGGAAGAGGGAGGGGATGGAGAGTGGAAGGAAGGAAGCCTGGAAATGAAGATGTGTGCAACTCATACATACATATATATATATATACCAACTGAGTGAATAGATGGCCAGTAGTATAAAGAGAGGAGACCCCCAAAACAGAAGAAACAACTCGTGTACCTAGAGGACTAATACAATTTACAGTGACCAGTTATTCTGTTTGTAAACTGGGAACAAACGAACAAAACTTGTGTTTAAACCAAAGTTGAGGGTTTTAGATTAAATTTAACATTTGCTGACAACGAGAGAGGGTACAAAATCTCCTTCCCTAGACTTCCCTTGAAATGAAATTGATTCTCATGTGTCTGGAGTGGCTGTGACTGTGAACCTGAATAAACTTGTTAAAATAAAATTTATTGTTTAAGTTCCTTTCCAGCATTATGATTTCCTAGAAGGACTTTTAGTGGTTGGTTAATTTGCTCAAAGTCACGTACAATGGGAGCCAAATAGAAATCAATTCACCAAGTCTGAAGTGGATTTCATCTCAAATGGTCATGTCATATATACCTCCTTCAAAGAAATAATCAATGGAAGTGCAGCCTTTTGAATGTCTGGAGCTTCCCACTGTGATGCCCTGGATGGGACTGTCCCCAGCCATCTCTGACTATTCTCACTGACCTGGAGCAGCAGAAAGAATGGAAAGTTAAGATTGAGGAGATAGAGGCCAACCAGCTTACTTTTCTTAAAATGACTAAAATTTGGTATTTTCTGCCATTTCCAGTCAACAAAATGCAAACTCTCAATAATAATAATAATAATAAGAGTGAACATTTCTGAACCATGGCACTACTCCACGGAAGTCCCATGATAACATTTTTTAGACATCATTTTATTTAATCTTCACAGCCTACTGAGATAGATACTATCTACTATAGGTTGAATTGTGATCCCCCCCTTCCCCAAAAATGCATATGTTGAAGTTTTAAAACCCGGCACCTCAGAATGTGATCTGATTTGGAAGTAGGGTTGTTGCAGATATAATTAGTTAAGATGAGTCATACTAAAGTAGGACAGGCCCCTAATCCAATATGACTTGTGTTATTATAAAAAGAACACTGTATGAAGAGATAGATGCATACACATATTCTAGTAGAAAAGAGTATGAATTTTTTCAGTGATATGAAAAGATTATTTACAATATCCCTAATTCACATAGCAAAATGCATCCTTTCATTTCCAGTGGAGTACAGTTACTATAATTAAAAAATCATGGTGAGCCCTTGTTATGGTTTGAATATATCTCCCTAAGTTCAAAGTTTCAAAGTGTTGGAAACTTAATGCCCAAAGCAGCAGTGATGAGAGGGTGGGGCCTTTAAGAGGTAATTAGGTCATGGGGGCTCCACCCTCGTGAATGGATTAATGTCTTTATTGAGGGAGTGGGTGATTTGTTGAGGGAGTGGCTTTGTTATAAAAGTGAGCTTCCAGAACTGTGAGCCAAATAAGCTTTTCTTTATAGATTATTCGGTCTGTGGTATTCTGTTACAGCAACAGAAAATGGACAAGATACCCACTATACTATCTCCAACATATTCTAGTTTGTAGTTCTAATTGGAAATAGCTGCTACTATATTTGGTAAGAAATTAGCTTTGTAGTTAAGAAAACAAAGGTTTTGTTTGGGATTATTTGGGAAGCTGGGTTTTCAGACTCCTTTTCACTGCTTTCTAATGACTAGCCATCCTAGAACTGCACTGGACCTCCCACTGCCTCACACACATCTGGTGTTTTCTAATGCAGAGGGGAAGGCAAGGAAAACAGGCCTTTTGTTAACAGAGACAGAGGAAGTTTTCCATTTTCATTGAAGGGCAGCATCCAAACAAGAGAGAGAAAAATGAAATACTACTGGGCTTATCTTCCAAATGCACCTGTTTGTGACAATGCAGTGAATGTCAAGTCGGCTGTATTTAACTGGAAATAGAATCCCCTTTGAGAAGTACAATGAGATCTTGCAGAGGTAGAGAGAAAAGAGAATCTGGGCTGGCTCAATAACTTAGGAAAGTGCATTGATATTGGCTTATTGTACTTATCACGGGATCAAAATCAGGAGTTTTAGCAACCTCACTCACAAGGAATACATCTTGAACAAAACTGTATGTTTTCATACTGTCATGTTTCAAAATCCCTTAGCCTCACCCTTTTGCCAATCCCAGAAAAACATAATTATTAGGGTCAGCTTGCTGATCACCTCCTAATTCAGAAATGCTTGTTCTCTGAGGTCTCTACTTACCTTCTGCTCACAAGCTCTTGATATATTACAATATTTAGGACTCAGTACGTACCCAGCACATACGTGGGGTAGTATCTGGGTATGATTCAAGATTTCAAAACTAAATATTTCATACCCATCCTTTTCCATCAGCATATTGGACATCAATATATTGAATAAGATCTAAAATTCATATGTAATATACTAACAGGGGAGTGGGGAAGAGGGAGATAAAAGCAAAAGTGCAAGTTTTCCTGAGCATAACTATTTAACTGGCATATTAGTAAAGGTAGCTCTCTAACAAATGAATTTTAACATTTCAGTGGTATAACATCCTAAAATTTAGTTCTCATTGACACAGCAGTCCAATATTATTGTTCCTCCTAGGCAGAAGGGGGCACTACTCCTGCAGTTATTCAGGAACCAGGATGACATAGACCTTGACAAATTTACATATGGCTTTTAAGGTCCTTGAATATCAACATCCAGCCAGTAGACAAGGGGTGGGAGTGTGAAGAGAGAGAGAGAGAGAGAGGAGGTTTTGATGATCAGACCTTGATATGATTTGGCTCTGTGTCCCCACCCAAATCTCACCTTGAAATGTAATAATCCCCACATGTCAAGGGCTGGCCAAGGTGGGGATAATTGAATAATGGGGGAGGTTTCCTTCATGCTGTTCTCGTGATAGTGAGTGAGTTATCATGAGATCTGATGGTTTCATGAGGGGCTTCCCCCTTTGCTCGGCACTCATTCTCTCTCCTGCAGCCCTATGAAGAGGTGCCTTCCACCATGATTGTAAGTTTCCTGAGGCCTCCTCAGCCATGCAGAACTGTAAGTCAATTAAACCTCTTTCCTTTATAAAGTACCCAGTCTCGGGTATTTCTTCATAGCAGCATGAGAACAGACTAATACAGGCCTGGTACAGAGACATATATTCCATGGCTTTAAATCATCACATGGCAACACATGACTGCAAGGGAGGATAGGAAATTAGTGTTTGTGCTCAAAATATAAAAATAGAGGAAGGAGGAAGAGAAAGAGGCAGTAACAGAGAGAGAGAGAACAAAGCTGTTGATCAAGCAGCAGTATCATAATTGACCAAAAAAATGCAGATGATAAATGTGTGTCTAATCCAGGAAAGCAATATAAAACAAAAATTGACCATTGCACACTGACTCGAAATCCCCACTCCTGAAGCACAGAGTATAAAATAGCACTCTTGTAGCAGTTAGCTATTGCTGCATAACATACCACTCCAAAACTGAGTGACTTGAAAGAACGTTCACTTTATTATTACAACTCACATAATAAAGGATAGGTCATGTGTCATCTGACCTTGGCTGGACTTGCTCATGCATCTGCAGGTTGACTGGTCTGCTCATATGTCTGCAGGTCATCTGGAGACTCTATTCTAGGATGCACTAGGCTAAGCACCTTAGGGGAGAGGTCTGTTTCATGTATCTCTCATCCACCTCTTGGGACCAGTGAGATGTCCTGAGTGTATTTTTCTCACATTGATGACAGAAGTATGAAAGAGCTATCAAAAACACAGAAAGCTCTGGGGGCTCAAGCTCCGAACTAGCACACCATAATTCCTATCTCATTCTATTGACCAATACGAGTCACATGACTGAGCTGAGATTCAAAGAGTAGGGAAAGAGATGCTGTCTCTTTAATAGGAGAAACAGCAAAGGTATGAGTAAAGGACATGGATACAGAAAGAGGTGAAGAATGGAGCCATTAATGTAATCTACCACATCTCCCAATTTCAACTAAAAGTCCCCTAACAGAGATTATCTCAAAGGACACATTGATGGTTATATTTCCGATGAGAATTAGTCAATTGACTTCTAATCACTCCCAGTATGCAGTCTCCACAGTAGACATGCAAATAAGAAAACAACAACTGGTGGGGAGTCAAAGCTGCCTGTCTATTGGTAAGCATTAGTCATCCATGCTAACAGAAGTGATTGTGCAAATGATGTTGCTGGTTCAATTCTAATTAGCAAAGAATATTTTAAAGGTAGGCTTACTTTTAACTCACCTGCAACTTAAAGAAAAGGCTTTCTCTCATGGGAGAAAACTTTCCATAAGCAATTGCCACTACTGGGGTGGGAGTGAAGTAGTGTGATAATTAATTTTGTGTCAACTTGACTGGGCCACAGGGTACCCAGACATTTTGTCAAACATTATTCTGGATATGCCTGTGAGGGTGCTTTTGGATAAGATTAATGTCTGAATCAGTAGGCTGAAAAAGGCTGATTGCTCTTCCTAATGCGAGTGGGCCTCATTCAAGCAGTTGAAGACCTGAATAGAACAAAAAGTCAGAGTAAGAGGAAACTCCTCCTGGTGACTTCAGCTGGGACATTGGTCATTTCCTGCCTTTGGACTTACACTGAAAAATCAACTCCTCTTGAGTCTTGAGCCTGCTGGCTTTTGGACTAGAACTTACACTATGGGCTCTCCTGGGTCTGCAGCTTGCTACCTACAGATCTTGGGACTTCTCAAGTCTCCATAATCACATGAGTCAATTCCTTATAGTCAATCAATCAATCGCCTCTTGGTTCTGTTTCTCTGGAAATCCATGACTAATAAAAGCAGCAAGAAGTAAGATTCAATTGCAGCTTCAGCATCCTCTGAAATGTGCCAAGGAAATCTAAACAATACCCATGAAAAGTAAAGCTCCAGTTTGTTTTTCCCACTTGTCTAGCTTCAAAGCACCAGCAGCTATTAACATTGATCTGTCCAGACTGCATTTATAAAAATCTGTAAATGGATCAGAGGGGAAATTCAATTAGACTGTAATTTCGCAGTACTCTGAAGAACATTACCTGGCAAGAACACTCAGGAGGGCCAATTAGAACCATCATGGCCTATCTGGTTGTAGAATACAAACATGTTCTCTCTCCTTCCACAAGACTTGAAGTACTACTTGGGTAGTGCATGTCTCATTTGGAGAGTTAGTGCTGCTTATGTCTAGAGTTACTGATTACGCACAAAGATTAGGAAATGCCTGAAGTAATTCTGTTAGCAGAACTGGACGGGGGAATAAAGACAACTGAGTGATGCAGCTAAGATTAATGTCAGAAAGCTGGTAATATGAACTCCAACAGAGAAAGTGAGCTGCACTCTGCTGATGGCCATTGAGAGAAGGAAAACAAGCAAGACAAAAGCAACAGGGCCAATAGCTCTCAAGAAAAGGAGAGGCCCTCCTCATCTAGCCCAAGTTCAGGGTCAGTTTCTAAAACTCTGGGTTATAAAGGGAAAGGGACATTAACTCATCGTGTTTTATGCCATATTTGTAATATCCCTCCCTATTTTACAAATAAGTAAACTGAGACTCAGAGAAGTTAAAGAAATTGCCCAAGATCACATCAGTAGAAAGTGAGGCTCCTGGGATTCTGATCCAGGTCCATCTGAATCCAAAGCACATATTCTTTCCACTACATGACATACGTTTGTGTCTAAGGAAATGAGTGAGATAAAATGACACTAGGAGAGGCTTAGACCAAGCAAGGCAGTGAGAACTCTTGCACTGCATCAGGGGAAAATATCTTTAATTAAAAGAAAGTGTGGTTGTCAGCAAAAGCTGAAGGAAATTATAAGAGACAGAAAAGGAGCCTGCTTACGATGAAACAAAGAAGTCCAGAAAACACTGAGGAACTGCAACAAAAGAGCCACATCCTGGGGTGGTCCTCGTTAGGAAGCACAGGATCAGAGACAGGCAGCTAATCAGGAAGATGAAGAAACACATTGAATTTGGAGGAATTCACCAAGGATAGTGGCCCTGTGCCTACTACACTCCATGGTTGAGAGAACTTGGAAATGTGAAGTGATGTAGCAAGCTTGGAGTTGACAAAGGTGGGACTGATGGTCTGGGTTGGCCTCCAGAAAGACTTAACTTTTACTCCAGTGACCCAGAAACAAGTAGACCACAGACATGCTCAACATCTGGATCCAGATCCTGATTTTCCAAGAATCATGTTTTGTCTTTCTGGAATGTGCCTAAATCTCTTTCACCTCATGCTTCAGTCAGATGGGACTCTTTGTTTTTTGAAATGTCAAGCCTTTAAGCATGTTACTCACTCTACCACAAATGTCATTCTCCTTTCCCCACTCCCAACTCCAGCTCCAACACTGATTTAGAACTCAGCCTAACTTACTTCTTGGGGTGAACCTAAGATGTGTCGTTCAGATTCCCCTTCAAAGAAGCACTCATTGCCCCAGCTCCTGGGAGCACTGTCATACCAGCCTTTGGCTGGCAGCCCTTTCATGTCCTGCTTCACAAGAAGAGAGCCCCCTTGCCCAAGTTCATGCTCCTTCCTGCAGTGGCCTATATCCAATGACTGATTAGTGCTGGACTATTGAAGCTTGGCCATAACTGGGACAACCATGATGAACCCTATATCCTCCAGACCTCCTCATGGAGTTTGCCACAGCTTCCCCTGGCCTGCATTGCAGTTAACTTCTCTTTTACCCACATCTGCTTCCTTTCCCTCCCTTCCACAAGTGTTGATCCCACAGGCACTTTTTAACAACCTGCCTACTAAACTCCATCTCAGGGTCTGCTTCTCCAGGGATGCAATCTGTGACACTTCTGGCCCTAAACCTCCATAGGCACAAGAGTTGTCAAATTGATTGGATTTCTGGCAGACTAGAAAGCTATTTAAATGTTTTGATAAACTTGTGAGTGAGTGCTCTTCTCCCCATTTGTCCCAAGTCCATCAAAACATTTAAATAGCTTGCTAATCCACTAGAAACCCAATAAATTTAAGAACTCCTGTGCCCATGTGGGTTTAGTCAGGAAAACAGCAGCACCACATTTATTACCAGAATAAGGAGTTTAACATAAAAATCAGGACTCATATGAACATGGGAGAAGTTGCAGAAGTGAAGGTACAGAAGGGGCTGTAGCCAGAGAATGGAAGGTTTAAGGACTTCACCAGAAGCACTGAAGTGGGCCAAGAAGCAGGAAGTGAGGAAATCCAGGAAGCCACTATTCTGGCCACCAAAATAGGAGCTTGTAGAGAGATCTTTAGCTGCCGAATCAGCAAAACCCACTGCATTTCACAAAGCTGCTATATGTTAGCTCTACAGTTATACCTTGTATTTCCACCTTCCAAATTTCACAAAAATACCTGTCACTGGAAAAATTTAATCCAGAATTATACAGGAAAGAATTTTCTGGGAAATATAGTTCCCAGCCTTAGATGGCAATAGTGCTGGGACAAGTTGGCACAGAAAATCCAGCAAACTCCCCAGCCAAATAATTGGGCTTATCTGCTCAAATCTATGAGTCATGGTCTGTTCTCTTTATCTCTCCCCACTTCAGGTGGCTTCAATGCCCTTCTGTTCTCTACATAAGCCTGTTTCTGAGAAGAGCCTCGGGAAAAATAGGCATATTTGTCCTCTCCATGTACAATAGCTGTGGCTCAACCCACTGTGATCAATGTTTATGGAAAAGAGACAAAAGCCTGCAAGTGGGCTTAGGAGTGGCAGAATTTAGAGGAACTAGGAATAATATGTGGCTTATGGTCAGCTTTCCTGCCTTTAGACTTAATTACCCATTATAATGAGCACCTATCAACCCAGTCACATCCTACAGTTGTCACCAACATGATGCAGAATTTATTCTCTGGTATCTGAGTCAGAAAGCAAAGTAGCTCCTATGAAAATAGCCTGAAGTCCAACCCGCATAAGCTTCATCCACATGAGCCTTTACCCACATTGAAGAAGGCAAACTTCAAGGCTTCTTTTGCATCATTACCATCTCTGAGGCCTTGCAGATGGGTAACGTGGAGGCTGTAAAACACAATTTGCTAAAAGAATAACCTTAATAACTCACTTTGTCCATTTGGGGAGGGGACAGATTAGCAAATGGTGCACTAAGTGGATTTTAAATCCATATATTACTGGTCCCCTGAGAACATATTTTTTAAAGTTCTTCTGGAAAACAAGAATATCAGCTCTATCTGCAAAACTGAATAAAGCTAAAAAAGAGGTGGTGGCAGCCTCTTTCAGTTTTCTTTCTTTTTAAACATCAAGTCACATATTTAGTGGTGGGTTTTGTTGTGTTGTATTTTCATTTTTAACTGTGCCTCAGAACATTGCTACTCCAAGTGTGATCCTTGGACCAGCAATATCAGTATCACCTGGAAGCATGTAGAAATACAGAATCTCAGGTTCCTCCCAGGACCTGCTAAATCAGAATCTGCATTTTAACATAATGACCAAGTGATTCATATGGCCTAGGAAGTAAAACTGACTGCAACGAGTAAAGTTATTAGATTTTCATATACTCAATGGCTTCCTAACAGAGATTATTTATACCACATGGTCTCCGTGCTCCAAGCCAGGGGTTTTTACTCTATGGGAGAACAGGTGAATCCCTTGCTTTAAAACATGAGCTTAGCCATCTTGGGAACTCTTGTGATCCCATGACCCCCAACTGAAGGGCCTGATTTTCATAACTGAGGGAAATGTGACAACTTTCCCATATTCAAAATGCTTTCACTGAACTTTGGTCCCTTCCTTTCTACTTTTCGTGCTTCAGGTCGAGTCAAGGCCATTTGATTTTTCAGGAGTGGTCTATGAATGATCTCTGCACGGTCTGAGAAATCCAGAGTCCTGGAGGAAATTTCCATGTCTAGATTTAGATAATAATCACTATAGCATGTGTTCACAGTGCTGTGCTCATACCATTTTCATGCACACCTGCTCCTGGTGGGTGTGCTTTTCCTCTCAACAGCCAGCACCTGTGTGTCTTTTGTTGGCCAGCAGCCCTCCGGCTGTCATAACCTGCTCTGCCTGTGTGCATGGAAATCCAGAGATGCCTGAGAATTTATATCCTTCGTCCACAGCCTTCTAACTCATGTCTGACTAGTGGAGAGAACAAATATACTCCAGTTCCCTTGCTCACTGGATAGAAGACTCTGAAGTGTACCTACACTGTTTCCAGAACCTTGCCTGTGGTATATTACTTGATAGCATACACTTACTTGACCTTCCCTTCCTTGTCCTGCTTTGGTGGTTATTCCTAGAAACAGTTTCTACTAAATCACTTTTACCTGAAGCCTTGCCTCAGGCTCTGCTTCTTGGGAACCCAACCTAAGATGGTCACTTTCTTGGCCTCCCCTATTGTATACTATGGTTTGTAATTTCAGATGAAATTTATCATTTCTATATACGTATCAAATATCCTTTCTGTAACAGGCACTGAGCTAGGGGTGGAAATACGGTAGTGATCAGGAGGAATATGGTTCCTGCCTTCAGGGAGCTTACACCTAGGCAGAGAAAAGACTCTGAAGTCTGATGAAGGTTATGATCAACTATATGATGTTATTATGAATAAGATAAAGACAAATTTATCTCACAGGAGTAGCTCAGCTTTTCTTCCTATTAAGACCTGAGAAAAATGACTTCCCAGGGGCCTCAAACAGGAGACACAGAATTTTAATTGTATACAGAAAATGTAAAATTTATATCCATGCTTCTAGTGATTAAGTCAACAGATTTTTTTGAGTAGCTACCTTCAGGCACTATGGAAATAAAATGAATAAGGCATAATTCCTTGCTTCAAGGAGATAACTCACTAAGAGAGGAAAGTCAGATCCACAAAGAAATCAGTGTAAAACAATCTGGTAAATATCATTGTCAAAATATGTCCAGTGTGTTTTAGGAACACAGAGAAGTAGTTACTCCTGTGAGAGTGCCAGAGAGAGGTAGTAACACTCGAGTGAATCTGTAAAAGCAGGAGTTTGTTAGGCAAAGGCACTGCAGACAGAAAGGACAAAGGGAAGGCTAGGTGAGGTAAATTGCCCTGAGATCCAAGCATGAAGTACAAGGTGAGAAGTGAGAAGAAATGAAGGTAGAGATGTAGACAAAGGGAGATCACACAGGGCCTTGAACAACATGTTAAAACACTTGGACATCATTGGAGGCCATCTGTTAGAAGGTTAATTTTAAGCATGGGAGGAACAATAGACACTGATTTCCATTTGAGACCAACCACCGTGCCAACATCTTAGATGACTCCAATTTAAGAAAGATCATTCAGGAGACTTATAATAATCTAGGTTTGAGATCATGTAGGCCTGCTTCAGAGATAAGGAGGAAGAGATGGATTTGAGAAATATTTAGACAGCAAATCATTACAGCTGAAAAGCAGTATGGTTTACCTCAAAATATGTGATATAGAGGCATTACCTTTCACAACAGACCACAAACATTGGCCCTGGGTGCACCTGAGCTCTCATACTGAATGATACACGGCATACACAGAATTTTCTCAAAACTTGGGAAGTCTGCTAGACTTGTATTCACAGCTGAACCTAGAAGCACAGCCCAAGGCAGGTATTGGAGGATAAGAGACATCTGGGGCCAGATTTGTGAGCAGGCTCCCACTCCCTGATGAAAGAAAAGGCACCTGGAAAAAGCCACCCCAAAAAAGAAATAAGGTCAAGGCAGCTGAAATAACATAAAGTGAGCACGTGTTGAAAAGTTCAGAAAATAACATGTTGAAATAAAAGATTATTTTTCCCAAAATTACTGCTAATTCATTTGCACTCTGAATGACCTTATTTAAAACAAAGATTTTTAAAGCTGCCAGATTGCCCTCCAACTAGAAGGCATGATGAAGAGACATCATTTCCTATCCCTCTGTCCTTAGCAGGTGGGTACTGAAAAATATTCAGATTTGCAAATTGATTTTTCCCCCACCTATTAGTCATCAGTGCTAATACTTTCCTGTAGCATCTTAATGTCATACTAAATTCGACAGAACCAAAGGAGTTAGAGTAGTGTTTCTCAACCTTCACTGCACAGTTGAATCACCTGAGAGCTACAAAAAAATAAAATACTAATGCCTGTAGCCCAGCCTCAGAGATTCAGATTTAATTGACCTGGCTTTGAATATCAGGATTTTTTTCAATGTTAAAATCTTTAATTAGTAGAAAAATATTTCAGACATATATTGTAGGAATAATACACACCCAAGTGAGATTCATTTCAGGAATTCAAGGTTGATGTTCCTGAATATCAGGATTTTTTAAAACTCCTGGGTGATACTGTTGTGCAACTAGGATTGAGAAACACTGCATGGGGCACTGGTCTCAAAATGGCCCTGGACTGGAAAAGAGCAGTAAGTACTCACTTTTCTACTCCTCAACAGTCCTGCAGAGTCTAAGTGCAGGGTGGTACTCACCTTTTTCATAGGCAAGCAGCCAGAAGACTGGAAATATCTCTAATCAGTTTAGTTTATCCAGATGACCTTCTTCCCAGCTCCTAGAGTACCCTAGGTGTAAATTAAAGAGACAGACACACAGCATGTGTGATTTTCTCCAACAAGGAAGGGGTCTGTCAGTGAAATGGACACGTTTTCAAACACCAGAAGGGATCTCAGTGCTCTTCTCATTGCACATTGAAAGTCTAATAAAGAGTGCTGCTATATCTTGAAGAAATTACTTCATTGATTTAATCATTGAAGATAAAATGTAATGAAAACACATAGAAATGTAAAGTGCTAAAACTAAATAAGGAAATATGTAAACACATTATGGCAGAGTGAGAAGGTTGGAGCTAAATATACCATTGATATCAGCGAGGATGGTGAAATGGAGGGATGATACATGTGATCACATGATATTAATGAAAATGCTGTTCAAATGATTGAATATTCACATTTCAGCGAGAAAGGTCTACCATGGGGGATAAAAGAGCCTAGGAATTCTAAGTCTACAGTGACTCTGAACCAAAGCCAAATCAAAGAAAAGGGGCTAAATTGTATGGAGTGTATCACGCTATGCCAAACATTTGATTCCTGCAACAGAACTAGGAGGTAGATATTTCTAATCCAATTTTGCAGATAGGTAAACTGACATCCCATGAGTATAAGTAAAGGGACAAAAACTTGTAACTTTTTGATAGTAAGACACAGTACAGCATGGTGGCTAAAAGTAGGGACTTAGGTGCTCAAATGCCCAAGTTCATAGTACAATTTCCCAGCTATTTGCTTACTCTTTCCCTACATCAGTTTATTCATCTATAAAATAGAGATAACAATAATTTCTCCCTCACAGGGTTTTGTGAGGTTTAAATTAGTTAATGCCTATCCAAGCACTTGGAAGGCTAAGACTGCTAAGGCTTAGAAGGATAAGCAGCATATTGTAAGTGTTAGCTATAATTATTATGGCCTGTTATCCTGAAGATAACAGGAAAATGGATGTATTTCAAGGAGGAAGGCATACCTGTGATACAAACAAGAGAAGAAACCAAAAGCAGCCCAGAAACTCTGAGGAAATGCTAGAAAATTTAAATCAGTTAGAAACAGACAAAGGGAGAAAACTAAGCAGGGATAGCCATAGCCCAAAACACTAGGGCTAGAAGTAGCTCTTTACAAGAGAGAGCCAGAGGAACTCAAACACAGAGGGAGCACCCACAAAGAGCAGGCATGGGCCAAGAAGTAAGAACAGAGCTAGTCAATGATGGTGCTGCATTCAGAACAGCCAGGCCAGGCTGGGTGCCCTCCAGAATGTGGACAACACAGGGAAGAGACCTCAGAGACTTCTGACACCTAGCCAGCAGTATTAGTCAGTTTTCACACTGCTGACAAAGACATACCCGAGACTGGGCAATTTACAAAAGAAACAGGTTTAATTGACTTACATTTCCACGTGGCTGGGGAGGCCTCACAATCATGGTGGAAGGCAAGGAGGAGCAAGTCACATTGTACATGGATGGCAGCAGGCAAAAAGAGAGAGTTTGTGCAGGGGAACTTCTCTTTTTAAAACCAACAGATCTCATGAGACTTATTAACTATTGCGAGAACAGCATGAGAAAGAACTGCCTCCATGATTCAAATACTTCCCACTGGGTCCCTCCCACGGTACATGGGAACTGTGGGAGTTACAATTCAAGATGAGATTTGGGTGGGGACACAGAGCCAAACCATATCACCAGCCAACACTAAGAACTGAAGTCTGAATAAAGGAACACCCTGTCTGTCCTGAGCCCCTGATTTGGGTATAGAGGTCTAAGAGAAAAGCAAAATAGAGTATGAGAGAAATCCAGATTCCCAAAACAGATGTGGAGAAAATAAACCCAACCAAGGCATTGCCTTCCAGCAGGAAAATAAATAAATCACTCCACTAACCAAGTAAATCTCCCCTCATTTGGCAAAGGGAGAGTTCCCCACAGACCAGGCCACCTGACCAAGGCCCAAAAGTACACGTGAATACTGGATGTCAGGAATGATTTTCTTTTTCTTTCCTTCTATTCTTTTTTTTTTTTTTTTTTTTTTTTTTGAGACAGAATCTCGCTCTGTCGCCCAGGCTGGAGTGCAGTGGCGCGATCTCGGCTCACTGTAAGCTCCGCCTCCCGGGTTCACGCCATTCTCCCGCCTCAGCCTCCGGAGTAGCTGGGACTACAGGCGCCTGCCAACCGCCCAGCTAATTTTTTGCATTTTTAGTAGAGAGGGGGTTTCACCGTGTCAGCCAGGATGGTCTCGATCTCCTGACCTCATGATCCGCCCACCTCAGCCTCCCAGGAATGATTTTCAAAGAAAATATTATTTACTCCAAACTGACACCAGGAATTATAGAAAATCTAAGTAGAAAAAATTGAGAAGTTGTCAGCTAAGCACTAGGCTTAGTTGACTTTACGGAGGAATAACACATCTAAAGAACAGATAACTTAAACACGATTTAAACACCTCACTGCATAAAAAAGCAAGAAAACTTCCCATATTCTTTTTATAAACTAAGCCAATGTTGATATCAAAGCCAATCAAAGATTACACAAGAAAGAAAACTAGATACTAATATCACATATGATTTAGTAATGAAAAATTCTAAATGAAATATAGATATATGACATTCAGCAGGACAATTCTCCATTGCCAATGAAGGTTTTATACTTGGGATGTGGAAAATCTATTAAAATAATCTATCATATTAACTCATATAATACTTCCTATGTGCTGGTTTTTGTTCTAAGTACTCTCTCTCTCTCTCTCTCTCTTTCTCTCTCTCTCTCTATATATATATATTTAATTTATATTTGTATATATACATAATATGTATAATATATATGCACACATATATATACATATATATATAAATTCATTTAATCCTCAGTGAAGATCTATGAGATAGGCACTATTATTATTGTGAGTTACAGAGAAGGAGACGGAGGCATAAGAACCTCAAGTGACCTCCTCAAGGTGAGAGAGCTAAAGAGTAACAAAGCTAGGATTTGAACATAGGCAAGGCAGCTCAGAGCCTGTGCACTTCTCCACATTGCTATATTGCCTCTTGTTAAAAAAAATAAGGAAAATGTCATATTGTCTTCTGTATAGGTGCTGAAAAGACATTTGGTGAAAGTCAACCTCCATCAAGAATTATTTTTTTCTTGGCTACTTTTTTATTGTGATAAAATATACATGATATGAAATTTACCATTTTAACCATTTTTAAGTGTACACTTCAGTGACATAAGCACGTTCACATGTTGTGCAGCCATCACCGCCATCCATCTCCAGAACTTTCATCAAGAATTTTAAGAAATGGATAAATTCCTCGACACATACACCCTCCCAAGACTAAACCAGGAAGAAGTTGACTCTCTGAATAGACCGATAACAGGCTCTGAAATTGCGGCAATAATCAACAGCTTACCAACCAAAAAGAGTCCAGGACCAGATGGATTCACAGCTGAATTCTACCAGAACTACAAGGAGGAACTGGTACCATTCCTTCTGAAACTATTCCAATCAATAGAAAAAGAGGGAATCCTCCCTAACTCATTTTATGAGGACAGCATCATTCTGATACCAAAGCCAGGCAGAGGCACAACCAAAAAAGAGAATTTTAGACCAATATCCTTGATGAACATTGATGCAAAAATCCTCAATAAAATACTGGCAAACCGACTCCAGCAGCACATCAAAAAGCTTATCCACCACGATCAAGTGGGCGTCATCCCTGGGATGCAAGGCTGGTTCAATATACGCAAATCAATAAATGTAATCCAGCATATAAACAGAACCAAAGACAAAAACCACATGATTATCTCAATAGATGCAGAAAAGGCCTTTGACAAAATTCAACAACACTTCATGCTAAAAACTCTCAATAAATTAGCTATTGATGGGACGTATCTCAAAATAATAAGAGCTATCTATGACAAACCCACAGCCAATATCATACTGAATGGGCAAAAACTGGAAGCATTCCCTTTGAAAACTGGCACAAGACAGGGATGCCCTCTCTCACCACTCCTATTCAACATAGTGTTGGAAGTCCTGGCCAGGGCAATCAGGCAGGAGAAGGAAATAAAGGGTATTCAATTAGGAAAAGAGGAACTCAAATTGTCCCTGTTTGCAGATGACATGATTGTATATCTAGAAAACCACATTGTCTCAGCCCAAAATCTCCTTAAGCTGGTAAGCAACTTCAGCAAAGTCCCAGGATACAAAATCAATGTACGAAAATCACAAGCATTCTTATACACCAATAACAGACAAACAGAGAGCCAAATCATGAGTGAACTCCCATTCACAATTGCTTCAAAGAGAATAAAATACCTAGGAATCCAACTTACAAGGGATGTGAAGGACCTCTTCAAGGAGAACTACAAACCACTGCTCAAGGAAATAAAAGAGGATACAAACAAATGGAAGAACATTCCATGCTCATGGGTAGGAAGAATCAATATCGTGAAAATGGCCATACTGCCCAAGGTAATTTATAGATTCAATGCCATCCCCATCAAGCTACCAATGCCTTTCTTCACAGAATTGGAAAAAACTACTTTGAAGTTCATATGGAACCAAAAAAGAGCCCGCATCACCAAGTCAATCCTAAGCCAAAAGAACAAAGCTGGAGGCATCACGCTCCCTGACTTCAAACTATACTACAAGGCTACAGTAACCAAAACAGCATGGTACTGGTACCAAAACAGAGATATAGATCAATGGAACAGAACAGAGCCCTCAGAAATAACGCCGCATATCTACAGCTATCTGATCTTTGACAAACCTGAGAAAAACAAGAAATGGGGAAAGGATTCCCTATTTAATAAATGGTGCTGGGAAAACTGGCTAGCCATATGTAGAAAGCTGAAACTGGATCCCTTCCTTACACCTTATACAAAAATCAATTCAAGATGGATTAAAGACTTAAACGTTAGACCTAAAACCATAAAAACCCTAGAAGAAAACCTAGGCATTACCATTCAGGACATAGGCATGGGCAAGGACTTCATGTCTAAAACACCAAAAGCAATGGCAACAAAAGCCAAAATTGACAAATGAGATCTAATTAAACTAAAGAGCTTCTGCACGCAAAAGAAACTACCATCAGACTGAACAGGCAACCTACAGAATGGGAGAAAATTTTCCCAACCTACTCATCTGACAAAGGGCTAATATCCAGAATCTACAATGAACTCAAACAAATTTACAGGAAAAAAACAAACAACCCCATCAAAAAGTGGGCGAAGGACATGAACAGACACTTCTCAAAAGAAGACATTTATGCAGCCAAAAAACACACGAAGAAATGCTCACCATCACTGGCCATCAGAGAAATGCAAATCAAAACCACAATGAGATACCATCTCACACCAGTTAGAATGGCAATCATTCAAAAGTCAGGAAACAACAAGTGCTGGAGAGGATGTGTAGAAATAGGAACACTTTTACACTGGTGGTGGCACTGTAAACTAGTTCAACCATTGTGGAAGACAGTGTGGCCATTCCTCAGGGATCTAGAACTAGAAATACCATTTGACCCAGCCATCCCACTACTGGGTATATACCCAAAGGACTCTAAATCATGCTGCTATAAAGACACATGCACATGTATGTTTATTGCGGCACTATTCACAATAGCAAAGACTTGGAACCAACCCAAATGTCCAGCAATGATAGACTGGATTAAGAAAATGTGGCACATATACACCATGGAATACTATGCAGCCATAAAAAAATGATGAGTTCATGTCCTTTGTAGGGACATGGATGAAATTGGAAATCATCATTCTCAGTAAACTATCGCAAGGACAAAAAACCAAACACTGCATGTTCTCACTCATAGGTGGGAATTGAACAATGAGAACACATGGACACAGGAAGGGGAACATCACACTCTGGGGACTGTTGTGGGGTGGGGGGAGGGGGAAGGGATAGCATTAGGAGATATACCTAATGCTAAATGACGAATTAATGGGTGCAGCACACCAGCATGCCACATGTACACATATGTAACTAACCTGCACATTGTGCACATGTACCCTAAAACTTAAAGTATAATAATAATAATGATAATAAAGAATTTTTAAAAGTCAAGGTCAAATATATCTATCCCACATAATGGAGAACTGGAAACATTGTCATTAAAGTCTGAAACAAAGCCAGAGTGTCTACTATTCCTACAATTATTTACCATTGCTCTGGAGCACTGGCAGAACAAAAACAGATGAGAAAGTTAAATTAAAACTATAAAAATTGGAAAATGCTTAATATTACCATCATTTGCAGCTGGTTTCTGGATACATTTCTGAAATAGGAAAGAATCAACTGAAAAACACTTATAAATAATAGTAGAATGCAAACATGTGACTAGGTCTAAAATTAATGTATACAAATAGTCATCCCATTTACAAACCATAACCAATTAGAATAAATGAAAAAATACCACAATTTAAGGTAGTCTTACACACATGCAAAATACCTAGAAATAAACATAACAAAGTTGTAATAGAAAACTTTCAAATGTCAGTAGAAAGTGCAAAAGAAAGTTCGAAAAATGGAAAGACAAACCATATTCTATGATTAGTAGGTTGGTTATCATAAAAATGTCAAGTGTCCCCAAGTAATGTGATCTCATTAAGAATAACAACAGAAATTTTGTTTGCATCTCACAAGCAGAGTCTAAAGTTTATCTGGAAAAGAATAAGGCAAAATTGTATATATAAACCTCAGAAAATAGACACAAATAAGAAGGAGCTAGCATTACTGGACATTAAAAGATGTTATAGAGATTAAAACCATTTAAATGATCAATGGGGCACAATAGAAGTAGACCAACTGCATATGAACATTTCTTTTAGATAAAGGTGATAGTTTATAACCATGGGGAAGAGAGGGACTGTTCTTAATTTTAGTTAGACAATGAGGTAGCCATCTAAACAATAAAATTGGACAGACACATCACATCTTATACCAAAATAAATTCCAACTTGAAAAAAAAGTTCATTTTAAAATTAAATAAAACTGAAAATTAATGGAATACCTTCATAATTTTAGGGAGAGGGTGGTCTTTCTAATTATTAAAAATCCTGAAGCCATAAGAGAAAATACTGGGAAAATCTATAACCTAATTTTTTGTTTGAAGTCTGCTTAGCAAAAACCACCACAAGCAAAGCCAAAAGACAAATATCAACTTGGGAAACTGTCTGCAATTCATACCGTAAAATGCTAATTTCTTTAAAATGTAGAAATTTCCTACAAAACAAGACCAAAAAAAAAAGAAACCAATAGAAAAATAGGAAAGAATATCAACATACAGTTCACAGAAAAGGAAATAGAAGTGGCTGTTAAACATATTTTAAAGACTCAGCCTCACTCATAATGAAAGAAAAGTATAGCAAAATTATGCTAATGTATACTAGTTCTTCTATCAGATTGGTGATACTGAGAAGTTTGATAACATGGTCTATTGGAGTGATGAGAAGAAAGTCATTCTCTCATAATGTTGCTGCTGAGAGTATGAACTGGTAAACTTTCATGGAGGTAGCCTGGAAATATTAATCAAAATTACAAATTTGCATTCCTACTGAGCCAACAGCATGACTTTGGGGAATTTATCCTACGGATATTTATACTCCTTTATTTACTGTGGCATTTTTTGTGATTACAAATGATTGGAAACACTCAAAACATTCAAAGAGGCATGGGTTAAATAAATAAAGATACATCCATACAAAGCAACACTATACAGCTATAAAAATAATGTGGAAGTCGTTTAGGTGGTGATCTGAAAAAATCATCAAAACATAATGTTAAGTAAAAGAAAGCACACTACCATTTGTAAAAAAAAAAAAAAATTAAAAGGGGGGAAGAATATAGAAGATACGTGTGTGTTTACTAGTATATAAAATAACTCTGTAAGCATACATATGAGAGGGGTAGCAGTTACCTCTGGGACAGGAATTGGGTGGCAGAAACAGTAGTGAGAGAAATGAATTATCATAATTTCAGAACTCCAAGAATAAAGAAGAAATTAAAATAACTTTAAGAAACAGGAATTATGCATTTAAAATACTGAGGGAAACTGATTAGGAACCTATAATTTATGCTTAGCCATACTACAAGTGTAAGAACAAAATACATTTTCAGACACACAAAAACGCAGATAATTTGCATACATCTGTATGAAAAGTGCTTTACAAAAGTTATTCTAGCAAAAAAAAAAAAAGAATATTATACACGAAAACTTGAGATAGAAGAAGCAATGGCAATTGACTATAACCTGAAAGAAGCACTGAAATTTATGTTTGTAAAATCCTCTCAAGTTTGGTAGCATGGACATTTCTATAGGAGGAACTCCCTGTAGTGAAAAATAGTCACATAAACCTAATACTGCAAGTGCTATTTTGTTTTAATATCTTAAAATTAATCTAAAAACAAAGCCAAAGACAATTATAGTTACAAAATAAAATTGTGTAAATCTAGATTATGTAAAAACAAGAATTTAACAAAATCAGGTGATATCAACTGGTATGAACCAAATTCCTCACCTTTCAGAGTGGGACAGTAACAGACTACATATCAGGCTAATAAATCAAGGAATGCAATTACATGCTTATTATTTAAGATAATACTATTTAACACCAGAAAAACACTTTTAAAAAGGAATCTGTTCAAAGTGTTTACCTCTAGGGAGAAGGGCTGGGACTTGTAGCAGGGGGAAAGGTAATTTTTATTTTTCAATAAGATATTTAATGTGGTTTGGAATTTTACTATGTGCAGTTTTAAAATGCCATACAAAAAATAAAAAGGGGGTGAGGAGAGGGAGTAACTTGTTCAAAACCATCATACATGTATTAAGTGATGGAGCTGCATTCCAACCCATATTCATTGAAGTAAAAAGTCTAGTTCTCAAATTTAGGCAGGCATCAGAATCCCTTGTCAGCTTGCTAAAACACAGATTGCCAGACCCCACTCCTGGAGTTTCTGATTCAGTAAATCCAGGATGTGGCCCAAGAACTTGCATTTCTAATCAGTTCCCAAGTGATGGCGATGGTGCCGGTCCAAGAACCAACTTTGAGAACTACACACTATATTATAACCTCTCTCTGTGAGGTCACCAACTTGGAAAAATAATTACTTTTAATGTATCACTAGTTTTGACCACAGTGCTTTGGTTATTGTCTTTTTGGGCTAGAAGAGGAATGTGAAGTTGGCTTTTCTATTTCTGCCTCCACAGACACCAGAGGAAAGAAAAACTTTCAATCAACCTATTATTTAAGTGACTTCTCCCACCAGGAAAGGGAGCTCTATGTCCATCTGCCTTCAATTTCTGCATTTCTACTTATGAGACCAATGTAACCGCCAGGCCCAGGAGTGAAACCTTACCCAACAGGCTGAGAAAAAGAAAAGAAAGAAATTATCTCAGGATTAACATGTGTTCACATGTATTCAGTGGGTGGCAAGTAATGGTTACCATGTCACTATGGAAATCTTTGTGCAATCTTAACAGCACACTGAATGGTTTGGAGGAAGCCTCTGTCTAAGGAGTTGAGTTGAAAATTTAAATGATGTAAAACTGCAGTGTTATCATCACAGCCCTGCACAAAGCAGACAATAGAAAATAACACAGTTTTACAAATATGATATCTGTCTTAAGCCCTTATCCCTTCTCTTATGTCCCTGCATTTCTCTTTATTTTTTCCATTTTTATTTTTTCATTTCAGTTGGTTTTTGGGGAACAGGAGGTGTTTGGTTACATGAATACGTTCTTTAGTGGTGATTTCTGAGATTTTGGTGCACCCATCACCTGAGCAGTGTACGCTGTACCCAATGTATAGTCTTTGATTCCTTGCCACCCCCCATCCTTTCCCTGAGTCCCCAAAGTCCAATGTATCATTCGTATGCCTTTGTGTCCTCATAGCTTTGCTCCCGTATATGAATGAGAACATACAATGTTTGGTTTTTCATTCCTGAGTTACTTCACTTAGAATAATAGTCTCCAATTCCATCCAGGTTGCTGTGAATGCTATTATTTCGTTCCTTTTTATGGCTGAGTAGTATTCCATGGTGTGTGTGTGTATGTGTGTGTGTGTATATATATATATAGATATAGATATATATAATATTTTCATATACCATATATATCATATTTTCTTTACCTACTCATTGATTGATGGGCATTTGGGCTGACTCCATGCTTTTGCAATTGCAAATTATGCTGCTATAAACATGCATGTGCAAGCATCTTTTTCGTATAATGACTTATTTTCTTCTGGGTAGATACCTAGTGGTGAGATTGCTGGATCAAATGGTAGATCTGCTTTTAATTCTTTAAGGAAGCTCCATACTGTTTTCCATAGTGGTTGTACCAGTTTACATTCCCATCAGCAGTGTAGAAGTGTTCCCTTTTCACTGCATCCATGCCAACATCTATTGTTTTTTGATTTTTTTGTTATAGCCATTCTTACAGGAGTGAGCTGGTATAGCATTTTGATTTTGATTTGCATTTCCCTGATCATTAATGATGTTGAGCATTTTTTCATATGTTTGATGGCCACTTGTATATCTTCTTTTGAGAATTGTCTGTTCATGTCCTTAGCCCACTTTTTGATGGGATCGTCCGTTTTTTTCTTGTTAATTTGTTTGAGTACCTTGTAGATTCTGGATATTAGTCCTTTGTCAGATGTATAGATTGCGAAGATTTTCTCCCACTCTATGGGTTTTCTGTTTACTCTGCTGATTATTTCTTTTGCTGTGCAGAAGCTTTTTAGTTTAATTAAGTCACATCTATTTATCTTTTTGTTACATTTGCTTTTGGGCTCTTGGTCATGAATTCTTTGCCTAAGCCAATGTCTAGACAGGTTTTTCTGATATCATCTTCTAGAATCCTTATGGTTTCAGGCCTTAGATTTAAGTCTCTGATCCATCTTGAGTTGATTTTTTATAAGGTGAGAGATGAGGTTCCAGTTCTATTCTTCTACATGTGTCTTGCCAATTATCCCTGCACCATTTGATGAATAGGGTGTCCTTTCCCCCAATTTATGTTTTTGTTTGCTTTGTTGAAGATCAGTTGGCTGTAAGTGGGTTTATTTCTGGATTCTCTATTCTTTTCCATTGGTCTATGTGCCAATTTTTATAGCAGTACCATGCTGTTTTGGTGACTATGGCCTTATAGGATGGTTTGAAGTTGAGTAATGTGATGCCTCCAGATTTTTTCTTTTTGCTTAGTCTTGCTTTGGCTATGCACGCTCTTTTTTGGTTCCATCTGAATTTTAGAATTGTTTAATCTAGTTCTCTGAAGAATGATGGTGATATTTTGCTGAGAATTGCATTGAATTTGTAGATTGCTTTTGGCAGTATGATCATTTTCACAATATTGATTCTACCCATCCATGAGCATGGGATGTGTTTTCATTTGTTTGTGTCGTCTATGATTTCTTTCAGCAGTGTTTTGTAGTTTTTCTTGTAGAGGTCTTTCACATCCTTCGTTAGGTATATTCATAAGTATTTTATTTTATTTTTGTTTTGCAGTTATTGTGAAAGAGGTTGAGTTCTTGATTTGATTCTCAGCCTGGTCGCTGTTGGTGTATAGCAGAGCTACTGATTTCTGTACATTAATTTTGTATCCTGAAACTTTGCTGAATTCGCTTACCCATTGTAGGAGCTTTTTGGATGAGTCCTCTAGGTATATGATCATGTAATCAGCAAACAGCGACAGTTTGACTTCCTTTTTACCATTGGATGCATTTTACTTCTTTCTCTTGTCTGATTGTTCTGGCTAGGAATTCCAGTACTATGTTGAACAGAAGTGGTTAGAGTGGGCATCCTTGTCTTGTCCCATTTCTCAGGGGGAATGCTTTCAACTTTTCCCCATTCAGTATAATGTTGGCTGTGGGTTTGTCATAGATGGCTTTTATTACCTTAGGCTATGTTCCTTCTATGCTGATTTTGCTGAAGGTTTTAATCATAAAGGGTGCTGGATTTTGTCAAATGCTTTTTCGGCATCTATTGAGATGATCATGTGATTTTTGTTTTTAATTCTATTTATGTGGTGTATCACATTTATTGGCTTAAGTATGTTAAGCCATCCCTGCATCCCTGGTATGAAACCCACTTGATCATGGTGGCTAATCTTTTTGATATGCTGTTGGATTTGGTTCACTGGTATTTTGTTGAGGATTTTTGCATCTATGTTCATCAGGGATATTGGTCTGTAGTTTCTTTTTTTGTTATGTCCTTCCCTGGTTTTGGTATTAGGGTGATGCTAGCTTCATAGAATGATTTAGGGAGGATTCCCTCTTTCTCTGTTTTGGAATAGTGTCAATAGGATTGGTACCAATTCTTCTTTGAATGTCTGATAGAATTCAGTGGTGAATCTGTCTGGTCCTTGACTTTTTTGTTGTTGTTGGCATTTTTTAAATTACCATTTCTATCTCACTGCTTGTTACTGGTCTGTTCAGAGATTCTATATCTTCCTGATTTAATCTACGAGGGTTGTATATTTCCAGGAATTTATTCATCTCTTCTAGGTTTTCTAGTTTATGCATGTAAAGGTGCTCATAGTAACCTTGAATAATCTTTTGTATTTCTGTGGTATCAGTTGTAATATCTCTCATTTCTTTTCTAATTGAGCTTATTTGGATGTTCTCTCTTCTTTTCTTGGTTAATCTTGCTAATGGTCTGTCAATTTTATTTATCTTTTCAAAGAACTAGCTTTTGTTTCATTTACCTTTTGTATTTTTTTTGTTTGAATTTCATTTAGTTCTGCTCTGATCTTTGTTATCTCATTTGTTCTGCTGGGTTTGGGTTTGGATTGTCCTTGTTTCTCCAGTTCTGTGAGGTGTGACCTTAGATTGTCTACGTGTGCTCTTTCAGATTTTTTGATGTAGGTGTTTATTGCTATGAAATTTTCTCTTTGCACCACTTTTGCTGTATCCCAGAGGTTTTGATAGGTTGTGTCACTATTATCATTCCATTCAAATAATTTTTAAATTTCCTTCTTGATTTCATTGTTGACCCAACAATCATTCAGGAGCAGGCTATTTAATTTCCATTATTTGCCTGGTTCTGAGGGTTCTTTTTGGAGTTGATTTCCAATTTTATTTCACTGTGGTCTGAGAGAGTACTTGATATAATTTCAATTTTCTTAAATTTACTGAGACTTGTTTTGTGGCCTATCATATGGTCTATCTTGGAGAATGTTCCATGTGCTGATGAATAGAACGTATATTCTGCAGTTGTTGGGTAGAATGTTTTATAAATATCTGTTAGGTCCATTTGTTGTAGGGTATAGTCCATTGTTTCTTTGTTGACTTTCTGTCCTGATGACCTGTCTAGTGCTGTCAGTGGAGTATTAAAGTCCCCCACTATTATTGTGTTGACATCTATCTCATTTCTTACATCTAGTAGTAATTGTTTTATAAATTTAGGAGCTCCAGTGTTAGGTGCATATATGTTTAGGATTGTGATATTTTCCTGTTGGACTAGTCCTTTTATCATTATATAATGTCCTTCTTTGTCTTTTTTAACTTCTGTTGCTTTAAGGTTTGTTTTTTTTTTTCTGATATAAGAATAGCTACTCCTGCTTGCTTTTAGTGTCCATTTGCATGGAAAATCCTTTCTACCCCTTTACCTTAAGTTTATGTGAGTCCTTTTGTGTTAGATGAGTCTCCTGAAGACAGCAGAAACTTGGTTGGTGAATTCTTATCCATTCTGCCTCTCCATAGCTTTTAAGTGGAGCATTTAGGCCATTTACATTCAATGTTAGTATTGAGATGTGAGGTGCTATTCTATTCACTGTGCTATTTTTTTGCCTGAATACCTTGTGTTTTTTGTTTTATATAGTACAGCATAGTATAGTATAGTATAGTATAGTATAGTATAGTATAGTATAGTATAGTACAGTACAGTATAGTGTTATTGTTATATAGGTCCTATGAAATTTATGCTTTAAGGAGGTTCTATGTTGGTGTATTTTAAGGATTTGTTTCAAGATTTAGAGCTCGTTTCAGCAGTTCTTGTCGTGCTGGCTTGGTAGTGGCAAATTCTCTCAGCATTTGTTTGTCTGGAAAAGACTGTATCTTTCCTTCATTTATGAAGCTTAGTTTCACTGGATACAAAATTCTTGGCTAATAATTGTTTTGTTTAAGGAGGCTAAAAGTAGGTCCTCAATGGCCTCTAGCTTGCAGAGTTTCTGCTGAGAAATCTGCTGTTAATCTGATAATAGGTTTTCCTTTTTAGGTTACCTGATGCTTTTGCCTCACAGCTCTTAAGATTCTTTCCTTGGTCTTGATTTTAGATAACCTGATGACTATGTGCCTAGGCAATGATCATTTTGTGATGAATTTCCCAGGTCTTCTTTGAGCTTCTTGTATTTGGATATCTAGATCTCTAGCAAGGCCAGGGAAGTTTTCTTCTATTATTCCCTCAAATACGTTTTCCAAACTTTTAGATTTCTCTTCTTCCTTAGGAACACCAATTATTCCTAGGTTTGGATGTTTAACATAGTCCCAAACTTCTTGGAGGCTTTGTTCATTTCTTTTTATTCTTTTTTCTTTGTCTTTGACAGATTGGATTTATTCAAAAGCCTTGTCTTCAAGCTCTGAGGTTCTTTCTTCTGCTTGTTCAATTCTATTGCTGAGACTTTCCAATTTATTTTATATTTCTCTAAGAGTATCCTTGATTTCCAGAAGTTGTGATTTTTTTTTACTTCTGCTATCTATTTCACTCAAGAATTTTGCTTTCATATCCTATATCATGTTTTTGATTTATTTAAGTTGGACTTCACCTTTCCCTGGTGCCTCTTTGATTAGCTTAATAATCGGCTTTCTGAATTCTTTTTCTGGTAATTCAGAGATTTCATCTTGGTTTGGATCCATTGCTGGTGAGCTGGTATGATCTTTTGGGGGTGTTAAATAACCTTGTTTCATCATATTACCAGAATTATTTTTTCTGATTCCTTCTGATTTGGGTAGACTATGTCAGAGGGAAGATTTGGGATTCAAGGGCTGCTGTTCAGATTCTTCTGTCCCATGGGGTGTTCCCTTGATGTGGTGTTCTCCCCCTTCCCCTAGGAATGGGGCTTCCTGAGAGCTGAGCTGTAGTGATCGTTTTTGCTCTTCTGAGTCTAGCCACCCAGTGGAGCTACCAGGCTCCAGGCTGGTACTGGGGAGTGTCTGCAGAGTCCTGTGATATGATCTGTCTTCAGGTCTTGCAGCCATGGATATCAGCACCTGCTCCTGTGGAGCTGGCAGGGGAGCGAGGTGGAATCTGTGAGGGTCCTTGGTTGTGTTTTTGTTTAGTGTGCTGGTTTTGTGTTGGTTGGCCTCCAGCCAGGAGGTGGCACTTTCAAGAGTGCATCAGCTGTGGTCCTATAGAGAAGATGCCCTAGGGACACCTAGTTAAGTATTCAGGTTTCTTGGGTGGTGGGCAGGGCCATAGAGCTCTGAAGAGATTATGACCTTTGTCTTCACCTACCAGGGTAGGTAGAGAAGGACCACCAGGTGGGGGCCCAGAATAGGCATGTCTGAGCTCAGCCTCTTCTTGGGCGGGGCTTGCTGCAGCTGCTGTGGGGGACAGGGGTATGGTTCCCAGTCCAATGGAATTATACTCTCAAGGGGATTATGGTTGTCTCTGCTGAGTCATACAGGTCACCATGGAAGTGGGGGAAAGCCTGCAGTCACAGGCCTCACCCTGCTCCCTTGCAGCCCACAGGCCTACTGGCCATTTTCATTCCCACCATGCCCTCCCCAACAGCACTGAGTCTATTTCCAGGCAGCTGGTGACCAAGGCTGAGACCTTGCACCAGATCACGAGCCTCCCTGTTGAGAAAGCAAGCTGACTCACAGTTTTTTAGTGTCCCAGGGAGCCTGCAGTGGTGATCCAGTTCCTTCAAAGGGTCTGTGGATTTTTCAGGCTTTCCTGGTATATTCCTGCAATAGTTCTTGGAGCAAAAGTTCACACCGTGAATCTCCACATGCTGCCCTGTCCATCTGAGTGAGAGCTACAAGCTAGTCCTGCCTCCTATCCACCATCTTCCTGTTTAAGCCTCCACATTTGTCTTTAAATAATTAGGCATTTTGGTCACTGATTTGTTTTTGTTATGTATATCATCACCTTCCTGTGGAAAATATTACCCTTCACAACAATTCACATCAGAAAAATAAATGCTTTCATCTGCAGTAAAACATACTGTAAATTACTGAATTTGGAAGCCTTGCCTTTAAAAGTGGGGCATGTAAAATGTTGTTGGCAGTTTAGTAAAGATTAGTTCAGCATGTTTATTCTGATTAGCACCAAGGGCTTCACAAACATTAAGACATGGAATGCCAATAAATCAATTACTCTATAGGAGCAAATCACTTTAGAAGGTGCATTAACTTCCTGGAACCACTAGGCTACCAATTAGTAACAGACTGCTTCTTTGTGCCTATTGGTGACCCACAGGAGATAATGTCACCCCGGAGGTGTTTAATACATTCCCAGGGTGGGATCCAACAAATCATCATCATTATTATTTATTAGAATTATAAAATTGCCCCTTTCCTAGTCCTACACATCAGGGAGCCAGTGCAAAACCAAAGTGTTTGCAAATAAGTAAACTGAAATTACAAAAAGTAATTGATGGGTTTTTTGTAGTTTATTAGTTAAGGTAATGCTAGCTGCTGATAACAAGAATAAGTAAAATGGCTCAGATGCTATAGAAGTCATTTTTCAAAAATCTATGTTCTAAAAGAGCTGCCCCTAATCAACAGGTGGTTTTCTTCTGTGATGGTTAATTTTATGTGTCAACTTGGCTAAATCAAAGTGCCCAGATGTTTGGTCAAATACTAGTCTAGATGTTGCTATAAAGGTATTTGTAAAATGAGATTAATATTTAAATCAGGAGACTTTGAATAAAGCACATTATGCTCCATAACATAAGTGGGCCTCACTCAATTAGTTGAAAGCCTTAAGAGAAAAAGACTGACTTCCCCCAAGAAAGAGGGAATTCTACTGCAGACCGCCCTTATACTTGAGCTGCAACATCAACTCTTTCCTGGGTCTCCAGCCTGCTGGCCTACCTCTGCAGGTTTTGGACTGCCAGCCTCCACAAAAGCATAAGCCAGTTTCTTAAAATCAATCAATAAATAAACAAATAAATAGATCTCTTCCAAACACATACGTATGTGTGTGCATATATAAATATATAGACAGACATATGTATATATGTGTATATGTATATATTTGCATATATATGTATATATATTTTTGTATATATACATATATATGTATATACACCGACATACATACACAGATACACACACATATCCTATTGGTTCTGTTTCTCTGAAGAACATTAACTAATATAATAGATCTTCCAAGACATGATTCAGGAACCAAGGCTCCTTCTATCCTGTGGCTCTGTCATCTTCAGTATGTGACTCTCAAGGTTTCTATGGTTGTCTACCCTGTGACAGAAAGAGAAAGAGCATGGAGGAGTGTATATAGGAATTGTTCACAGGCTATCCTGCTCATATTTCATTGGCTAGAAGTTACATAACTACTTCTACCTGCAAAGCATGCTGGAAAATGTAGCCTACTTGTGTGCTTGGGAAGGAAAAGAGCACATGGATTTTGGTAAGCAACTAACACTGCCTTGCTTGCTACTATCTTTTGAATGAATTTTACCATCCCAACACTGAATTCCATTACCAAATGAGTGCTATCTAAAGACACCCAGATCTAATGAATACCAAAAATCATGCTTTAGACAATAGGTTTTCACTCTCAGAAGTGCATCAGTCCCCAGGGGGGTAGTCTGGGTGCCATTTTTTTGAGGATCATTCACCACCTTGCCGATGTTGCTAACATTTCTCATCTATCATGCCCAGTCTCTTCTCCAAAGACTAAGACAGCTTCCTGAAAGAAAAAGATGAGAATGCCCTCACCCTAGTCTGCTCCAAGACAAGGGCCTCTCTTTTACCTCGCCATTGTATTCACCATTTCATCCCTGCAATCAACTACAAATCTGATGACATAGAAATAATTCCATCAATAATTTTTTGAAAAACAAGTAAAGAAATCAATGAATGACAAGATTCCTTAAATGAAATAATTGCATATTTAGGATCCAGTATAAATTCCAGAAAATGGTCTACAAATTTGTTTTTACTTTATGGAGAAGGAAATTGTATTCTTAAAAAGTCAGTATTTTGTTTAAGGCCATATAACTAATTATCAATAGAGTTCAGAAAAGAAAGTTTCCCAATTCCCAGCCTAATGGGTATAGTATAGTGGTTCTAGGCAGAAAATTACAGATAACATATCAATTTATATCCTCATATAAATAATCACGTACTTATATGTTATATCATCAGGTAATTATTAGTGATTCATATAAATTATTGTTTAGTAGGAGGATATATCAAAACATCTTCATTTATTTCTGCCTACCCCCAAAAGTCTTTATGCCCAAAGCCATCTATCTCTTGGTATGCCAACTGCATCTGTGTTCTATTTGGTATTGTGTCCTTTTTGGCCACTGTTTCACCCAGGTCCCACCTTGTCTTCTTCCTGCCATTCTTCTCTGTAGATCTTTACATGACTCCCAATCTGTGTAACTGCTCCTGGCAGAGCTAAAACACCAGAAGAGAGGGATGATGAAAAGGGGCGGGTGATGTCTGCTCAAATATGCATCACCAAGTGGAGGTTAGCCTGGCCATGTTCTCACCTTCAGACAATCCATCTGTCAGATTCTCTGCTTTCCCAAATTCCCAGTGAATCATTTTTCTTATCCATCGGGGAAGAAACCAAAAGTGCCCCTGTGCATGATAAGGACATATATGATCAGGGTGTTGGAAGTTTGTGTTCATCTGTTCTTGTATTGTCAAAGAGTGGAGATGATAGGATTCATTACCTGCTGACTGAAGAGCCCTTGGGCCCTGAATAACCAGCAACGATTCCCAGGGAGTATGCTGTGGCCCTGGACTCTGAAACATGTTGGCTTCAGGGGTGACCCATCACATTCCCAGCTTTGGTGGCTACAGTGAAAGACTCCTTCCATTTGAGAAAAGCAGAGGAAAAAGTAAAGGGGGCTTTTTCTTGTACCCTAGGTACCAGCTCATCCACAGTGGAGTAGAGGAACAAGTAGGCTCTTGGGGTCTTCAAGTCCAGGCCTAGGCTCTTGGACGGCATTTCTGGACCTGCCCTGGGAAAGAGGGGAGCTCACTTCCCTGAAGGGGAGTCCCAGGCCTGGCAGTATTCAGCACAGGCTGACAAAAGAGCCCTTTGACTTTAAGTGAATATTGGCAGGGGCCTGGCAGAACCCCCCTTGAACCAGTGGTGGTGGTGGCCACAGTGAGAGGCTCTTCTGCCTATGGAAGAGCAGGGAAGAAAGGGAAAGATGTTATTGTGATTTGAGGGCCATCTTAGCCACAGTAGACTAGAACATCAGGTAAATTGCTAAGGTTTTTTATTGTAATCCCTGGCTCCCAGACAGCATCTCTGAACATGCCCAGAATCTGGGGGGAACTCACTGCCCTGAAGGGAAGAGCCTTGGGCAAGACCCAGGGCTGTGGTAGCTTCAGGTCTGAACCAGCACAGTCCCAGTGGTGGTGACAACGGGGCTGCCTGCATCACCACACCCCCAGTTCAAGGTAGCTCAGCACAGAGAGACTCCATTTGTTAGGGAGAAAGTAAGGGAAAATAACAAGACCCTCTGCCTAGCAATCCAGAGAATTCTTTCAGATTTAATCGAAGACCGCCAAGGTGGTACCTTTGGGAGTCTGCAAAAGCCACAATATTATTGGGCTTGGGGCCTAAGTCTCTTTGAATACCAGGAAAGCCTTCCCAAGAAGGACAGGCACAAAAAGCCCAGACTGTGAAGTCTACAATAAATACCTAACTCTTCAATGCCCAAACACTGATATACACCTACAAGCATCAACACCATCCAGCAAAACATGAACTCAAGAAATTAACTAAGTAAGGCACCAGGGACCAATCATGGAGAAGCAGAGATATATGACCTTTCAGACAGAGAATTCAAAATAGGTGTTTTGAGGAAACTCAAAGAAATTCAAGATAACACAGAGAAGGAATTCAGAATTCTATCAGATAAATTTAACAATCAGATTAAAATAAATAAAAGTAATCAGGTAGAAATTCTAGAGTTGAAAAATGCAATTCACATGCTTAAGAATGCATCAGAGTCTCTTAATAGCGGAATTGTTCAAGCAGAAGAATTAGTGAGCTTGAAGACAGGCTATTTGAAAATACACAGTCAGAAGAGACCAAAGAAAAAAGAATAAAAAGCAATGAACCATGTCTACAATATCTAGAAAATAGGCTCAAAAGGACAAATCTAAGAGTTATTGGCCTTAAAGATGAGCTACAAAAAGAGATAGGGGTAGAAAGTGTATTCAAAGGGATAATATCAGAGAACATCCCAAACCTAGAGAAAGACATTAATATCCAAGTACAAGAAGGTTAGAGAACACCAGACAGATTTAACCCAAAGAAGGCTACCTCAAGGCATTTAATAATCAAACTCCCATATGTCAAGGATAAAGAAAAGATCCTAAAAGCAGCAAGAGAAAAGAAAGCTATCCTAAGCAAAAAGAACAAAACTGGAGGAATCACATTACCTGACTTCAAATTATACTACAGAGCTGTAGTAACCAAAACAGCATGATAATGGCATAAAAACAGACACATTGACCAATGGAACAGAATAAAGAACCCAGAAACAAATCCACACACCTACACTGAGTTCATTTTTGACAAAGGTGTCAAGAACCTACATCAGGGAAAAGATAGTCTCTTCAATAAATGGGCTGGGAAAACTGATATCCATACACAGAAGAATGAAACTAGACCCCTATCTCTTGTCATATAAAAAATCAAATCAAAGTGGATTAAAGACTTAAGACCTCAAACTATGAAACTGCTAAAAGAAAGTACTGGGGAAACTCTGCAGGATATTGGTCTGGGCAAAAACTTCTTGAATAATACCCCACAGGCACAAGCAACCAAAGCAAAAACTGGGCAAATGGGATCACATCAAGTTAAAAAGCTTTTGCACAGCAAATGAAACATTCAACAAGGTGAAAAAGGCAACCCACAAAATGGAAGAAAATATTTGCGAACTACCCATCTGACAAGTGATTAATAACCAGATTATATAAGGAGCTCAAACAAGTCTGTAGGAAAAAAGTCTAATAATCCGATTTTAAATGGGGAAAATAAATGAATAGACACTTCTCAAAAGAAGACACAGAAATGGCAAACAGTTATATAAAAAGGTGCTCAACATCACAGGTCATCAGAGAAATGCAAATGAAAACTACAATGAGATAGCATCTCACCCCAGTTAAAATATCTTATATCCAAAAGACAGGCAATAGCAAATGCTGGCAAGGATGTGGAGAAAAGGGAACCCTTGTACGCTGTTTGTGAGAATGAAAATTAGTAGAACCATTATGCAGAATAATTTGGAAGTTCCTCCAAAAACTAAAAATTGAGCTACTATATGATTGAGCAATCCCACTGCTGGGTTTATATCCAAAAGAAAGGAAATCAGTATATTGAAGAGATCTGCATTCCCCTGTTTGTTGCAGCGCTGTTCAAAATAGCCAACATTTGGAAGCAACCTAAGTGTCCATCAACAGATGAATGGATAAAGAAAATATGGTACTTTTACACAATGGAGTAATATTCAGTAATAAAAAAAGAATGTGATCCTGTCATTTGCAATAACATGGATGGAACTGGAGGTCATTATGTTAAGTGACATAAGGTACGGACTGAAAGACAAAAATCGCATGCTGTCACTTATTTGTGAGATCTAAAAATCAAAACAGTTGAATTCATGGAGATAGAGAATAGAAGGATGATTACCAGAGGCTGGGAGGAAAATTGGTGGTGGGGGGAAGGACAGGATATGGTTAAGGTGTCAAAAAAATAGTTAGAAAGAATGAATGAGACCTAGTATTTCATAGCACAACAGGGGGACTATAGTCCATAATAATTTAAGTTTACGTTTAAAAATAACTAAAAGAGTATATAATTGAATTGTTTGTAATACAAAATAGAAATGCCTGAATGGATGGATATCCAATTTTGCATGATGTGACTATTATGCACTGCATGCCTGTACCAAAATATTTTATGAACCCCATAAACATACACACCTACTATGTACCCACAACAATTAAAAATCAAAATATCAAAAAAAGAGTGGTGATGATAATGACAGCCAGGCTATTTACAATGGCTCACACCTGTAATCTCAGCTACTTGCTGGGCTGAGCCCAGGAGTTCAGAAACAGCTTGAGCAATGTAGAGAGAAACACTATCTCAAAAAAATAATAATAATAACAATTAGCATTTTTTGAGAACTTGCTATCAGCCAGGCACTGATGAATTGCATTTACATACAACGTACTTTCTTGGAATCGCCCAACGCTGTGTATTTGCTGATTGGAGACAAAGGGACAGTCAGTAAGGCAGAAGACAGATAACATTGTGAGGGAGGAAGCAAGAAAGAGAAACCAAGGAAGCTAGACTTTTTAACAGCCTGCTTTCATGAGAACTAATCCATCCCCAGGAAAGCAAGAATTCACTCCTGTGGGAGGTCATTGATCTATTCATGAGAGATTTGCCCCCATGACTCAAACATCACCAACTAGGCCCCACCTCCCTCCCACATTGGGAATCAAATTCCTTTTCTTTCTTTCTTTTTTTTTTTTTTTTGGACAGAGTTTCGCTCTTGTTGACCAAGCTGGAGTGCAATGGCGTGATCTCTGCTCACCGCAACCACCGCCTCCTGAGTTCAAGTGATTCTCCTGCCTCAGCCTCCCGAGTAGCTGGGATTACAGGCATGCACCACCACGCCTGGCTAATTTTGTATTTTTAGTAGAGATGGGGTTTCTCCATGTTGGCCAGGCTGGTCTCGAACTCCCAACCTCAGGTGATCTGCCCGCTTCAGCCTCCCAAAGTGCTGGGATTACAGGTGTGAGCCACAGCGCCCGGCCAGGGAATCAAATTTCAAAATGAGTTTTGGTGGGGACAAACATCCAAATTCTAGAACCGGTGGACATCCCAGAGGTTTTCAAACTATGTGCCAATGTATCCCAGGCGCCACAGCAAATTGATAGAGGCACCATGGGATATTTTTAATTTTCTTGTGAAACACTGTGGCGTCTATCAGATACCATGTGAACTACTACCTTGAGATAATTTGGTTTCATCATCGGATTGTTACATTCTTTTCAATGATGTCATAGTTTGTCAGGCTGGATTTTTAGCATTTCCTATCGTAAACAGCAAGTACCACATGAAAATCAATGTGAAATAAGAAACCCAGGGCTTCCTCTGATAAGTACTTTACCCCAGAAATAGCAGCCCTGTGGACCCAACTGAGACATGCTCAGAAACTAAACCAGTGGCCTCTTTTATGCCTACTGATTCTTTCCTAACATCCACTTATATCAAAAAGACATATGAAGACCATCTGAACTGATGTCTACTGGCTACAAACAAATGCAAATAATGAAAGTAATGAGCCTGCCAGAGGTCTCAAAGATCATATCTCTGATCAAAGCTGTCTCAATGCCTTTATGTCACCTTTCCAACAGTAGTCAAGCAGTGGTTCACTCACTGAGTTTGTTAATTGGTCTTAATTCCCTATCTGCAAAGTGTTTTTCTGCCAAGAGTCATGCTCAATGCCTAAGCACACTGGAGCTCACACTTTCAGACTCTTTCAGCTTCCATAGTTGCATTTCTCCTGCTGGAGAGATAGGCTTGTTAAGACAAGAGCAGCAGCACAGTTTCTGTTCCAAGGAATTATGGAAATGGATTCTGTATCTGGCACTTTTCTGGGATTTCAAGCAACCAAATTTAAAATTATTGTATTAAATCATAGCCCAATGCAATGAATCTCCACGCAAATTTTAAAGGGGTAAAGTTCTGTTGACAAACTTCATCAATTTTGTCTAAAGATGAAAATAAAAGAAAAAATGGAGCAGAAGACATCTAAAGAGATGCGACCCCAAAATAAGCGTTCATTTAAAGCTTTCCATTCAGTAAGTAGAGCCAGTGATTGACTCCTTCAGCAAAGGGCAGAGAATTTGCTAACTTATGAAACCACTGAATATTGGAGATGGAAGGGGACTTAGAGTTTCCCATGTTTCTTATTTTCAGATCAGAAAATTGTGACTGGAGGGATAAGTGAGGAAGCATGGTATAAAGAAAACATAAGTTTTAGCATCAGAATAACGTGAGTGCTAATCTCAGGTCATCAGTGACCACCTTGGAAATGCTCCAGGGCTTCCTCAACTCCCTGATCTGTGGTGTCTCCTCTGCTGGAGTCACTAACACCTCTATCACAGAGTGGTTGAGGGTTTCATATGTGACGGCACAAGGCCCAGCACATGGTCAAAACTGGACCTTCCCATCACCTTTTTATTTCTTTGCCCAAAGCACACTTGAGACAGAACAGAGAACGAACCATAGGGCTCCATTTCCTAATCTAATTCTCTCTCCGTTCCCTGGATACACCCAGAATCTCTGCCACTCTTGGCAGTTGTTTAGACTAAAATATCTTTGACCAAGGATGTCTTTATGCCAAGATGCTGGTCATGAAATTCTAAGAGGGTCAAACCCTGTGGGTTCTTCTCCCATATATAAGGACAGATGTGTGTTATTCACTTCTCATTCCCTACCCTGGTCCACCTCCTGACTCAAGGACATTTCTAGATGACCAACTGTAGGACGATAGAAAAGAAGGAAATTACCTGGGCTGCTCAGCTACTGAGATTTATCCCCTTAGCACTGTGCTGACTGTTCAACTTGATTTCCTCAAACATGATGCTTCTCAGAGGTTGAGGAAGAAACATAATCTACAGCAAACTGGAAAACAGTGGTGTTGTAATAATGATTTGTTTCTTCCATTCTGGCATTCCTCCAAACAGACCAAAATCCATCTACTTTTCATTTTTTCAGAGAAATTCATTTTTGTAAATGTATCAGACCAGAGCAGGGAAACTTATTTTGTGTTAGTACAGAAGTGCTACTTCCAACAATAAAATAAGAAAAAAGAAAGAAGGAGGGAAGGAAAAAGGGAGGGAGGGGGAGAAGAAAGGAAGGAAGGAAGAAAGGAAAGAAAGAAGGAAGGAAGGAAGAAGGGGATTGACTCAAGACTGGAGGGATAAGTGACGAAGCATGGCGGTATTAATAAAAAATAAACTTTAGGAAGAAAAGATGAAAGGTTTGTTGGGAGGGAAGGAGAAATAAAAAAAAACAGAAAGAGAAAACAATAGGAAAGAGTAATTACAGCAAGATATTTCCCAAATCATGAGATGAAAGCAGAAAGACAGCTAAAGCAGGCTTCCCCTTCCACTCTCACCCCTTACCTCCTTTTGTCCCCTTACTTTCACACTCCTTGCCATTGCCAACATTCTTTGCCCCACTTGGAAAAGTCTCTCTCAAGCACTCTGCTTATTCAAATCCTGCCTGTGCTTTAGGGCACAACCTGAATCCCAGCTCTTCTGCAAAGCCATTCCTGATCTCTCTACATAAAAGAGAGCTGTCCCTTCTCTCTTAAATCCAATTGGGACACTCACTGAGCTAGCCATTTACTGCCTTCTACTCCAAACTTTCATTCCTTTTTTAATTACAAAAGAAATATATGCTCATAATAAATCATAAGTAATTTATTTAATATTAAATAAACATTTGTGTATTTCCATAATTGTTTAACAATTAATAAATAAATCACAAAATAATACAGAAGTGTTTAGCATAAAGAGTACTAGTCCCTGGCCCTGCTCTCACTAACTGGAAGAAATTGCCCTTGTAGAATTCCATCTACGCACATTTGGAAAAGAAACACACACACAAACTTCTGTGGGACATGGGGGTGGGAGTGGGGAAGTGTTTGCAGGTATCAGTTGAGATCTCGCTATCTCTTTAGGGCCTATTAAGATAAACTTGGACTATTTATTTCATGTGCTGTGCATTCTCAAAGTCCTTCCACAGAACTTTGTGGACCTTTGTGACTTTCAAATGCACAACTTGCATTCTCATGGCCATCTCCATCTCTGAGCTCCTTCCTGCTTATGCCAACTCAACTTAGTTTGTAGACTTATTTTCCCATCCGACAGATACTACATGTTTTCTGTACCACATTAATCCAGACATGAAACTCAATTCCTTCTTTCATACCTTCAAAACACCTCACTCCCACAGAGTAATTTGTATATTTAGTAGGCATTTCTGAAGATCTTGGGAAACAGAAGGAGGGTTCCCTCTGTAGCAGCACAAACTCCTCGAAGTGAACATTAGATCTCTCTGTGCTTACAAGGTCTTCAGCCAGCCATCACCAATGACTTTGACTGTGGGAGAAGAAAGAAATGGTTGAATGGCTAATCTAGCCCAGCTGATTTGGAGACCATAAATCTTTAATGGTACAAGCCCATAATTTCTGTGACATTCCTAATCAATATCCAGGTACCTAAATATAGTAATATCCAAAAGAAGAATTAGAATCCTCTAGATTTGTGGTTTTCTGCAACAAAGCTAAAGAAGAAATTAAATGAGAGGTTCGGGTTTATAACAATAGTTTTTCTTTTCTTTATTGGGTGTGTGTATATGTGTGTTTCTGTGTGTGTGTGTGTTTTACAGAGTGAACAATTCCCTTGTGGAAGATTGGTTGAAGGACATTCAGACATAGAAATAAACTCCTTCTATACTTTGTCTCTCTCAAGTAATAGCCACAGGGCTTTCCTTCTCTTCACTCGGGACTTTTATTAGAAGAACCTTTTTTACTGACTTTACTTTCTCTACTCCTATTCACTCCTCCACTTATTAAATTTGACTTCAACCACGCCTCTCCACTTCACTGTAATTTCTCTTATGCTATTAGAGTACTTTAATTCTTTGGAAAGCAACTTTCCTCTTGAAACCTCAACTCCCTTGGATACTGCATTCACATTCTGTTTTGCTTTTTGTCTTAGCCTGATTCCTCTTTTGTAATCTCTGCCACATATTTCTTCTGCTGGTGGTTCAAATATTGATATTCCCCTTGGGTTCCTGAGACCTTGTTGGTCCGTGGCTCTCTTCTCTTTTCTCTATTGCTGGAGTGATCTTTAGAAATCATAGATCTGATTATATCCCTTCTTGACTAATGCTTTAATCTTTCACTAGGATGAATTCCAACCCCCCTTAGAATAGAGTCCAACAGTATTTATCATCCATCCTCATTTATCTCTCCAGCCTCATCTTTCATCACTCCACACCCCACACCCAGCAACTTGATGCTCTAGTTGCACAGAATTACTTACAGCTCTTCAAATGTGCCTTGCTCTATCATTGCACATACAGCTTATTCTCACCTAGACACCCTTCTCTTAATTTTTTACCTAGCTTATATGTCACCTTGCTTGGAGGACTTTCCAACCCCCACCCCAGTCAGGGATAGGTGCTGCATCTGAGTAAACCCACTCAACCCTGTCTATCTCTATCATAGCACTTATTTCATTGTATTATAATGGTAAGAGTATGTACTTATCTCCTATAACAGATGGAATTCTTTACTGGCATGGATTATATTTTATTAATCTCTCTATCCCTAGTACCTAGCAAAGTACCTAGCTTAGTCAGAATAAGATAAACTGTACTGTAGTAAAAAATAAACCCCCAAATTTCAGTGGCAAAAGTTTATTTATCACTCCCACAGAGACTGATTCAGATAAAAAGATGTTTCAAGGTATTTCCTCCATGCAATGACTCAGAAATCAAGGCTTCTTACATCTTGTGACTCCAACATTTCAACATATAGCCCCCATGGGCCCTGAGATGAGGGAAGAATGAGTTTGACAGTGTCACACTGACTTTTAAATGCTTCAGAATGGAGATTGCACACATCATTTCACTCACAGCCCACTGGCCAGAAATAGTTGCACAACCTCAATTTAACCACCAGGGAGACTGGAAAATAAAGGAAGCACATGAACTATTTGGTGAGCACTATAGACATTGCCACAGGTATGTTGAATCAATAAACCCCAGTAAGAATAGTATAAAGTTATAGCTTGGTTCATTCATCAGACAATGATAGAATTCTTGTTGGCACACCGTTCTGAAATAAAGTAAGCTTGTGTTTGAGTTACTTGAAATCAAATAAATATCAATCTTGAAGTCTTTTCAACATCTCGCCAACCACTAGTTTGTAGCTTCAGTGTTTTTCTTGATTTCTATATAAAACTGGGAGGTGGGGGAGAGTAAATAAATTGCAACCACCCAAAAACATACATCTACACTACAGGACTTCTGAGGCTTAAATAAGTACAATGTATAACTTTTCATCATAATTATCAGCAGCCACTACTGCTGCCACAGTTGACAAACACCGTGGAGATGCCTCTGCATCAGTGTTCACTCTACAGCCACTGTGAAAACCATGGCTCCTCATCAGCCTTATACATACTCCTGTCACTTGCTCCCCACATCACAACCAATCATTCTAAGCAATCAAGAGTGAAGCCAGCGCTAAAACAGGAATGGAAAAATATTTACAAGAATCTCATAAAACCAGCAGGCAAAACAGCAAAACATACCAAACAATTTTCATTTCTTCCATTAACCCCTTCCTTTCCTTCTGGTCTTCATCTACCTCCCCAGTTTTCAATTGTTCTTCCAGATAAATGTCTGAGATCGTTTACAGTTTTCTCTTAATAGTGTTTGCGTTCAGATGAGGGACTCCCAGAAAGCTAGATGATAGTGGTGGCATTATTAGGGGCTGGGCTGATACACTATGTTCTCTCAATGATGCTCCACAAGTAGCATCTACTTGCACGCAGGTTCTACTCACAACACGTGGCTCTTTCCATGTAACTCACATCTCCTGCCTCAGAGAAATAATTGACTGCCTATGTTTAAATATATTTTTTCACCTGAGTTTAATATACAAAGAGAAAATGAAGAGCCTAGACCTTACAACTTCTGAGCTGCAGTCTCCCCTCTTTTCTCCTGCTTTTTGTTTTATTCATGCAACACGCATTTATTAAATCATATACTGTGTCAAGCATGCACACTATGCCAACGGATAAAACAGGATGTATCTCCTAAAGCATCCCACTGTCTAGGTTAATGATTTTAAACTGCAGGTCATGACACATGAGTGGGTCATGAAATCAATGTAGCGAGTCATGCCAAGTGTTGTGTTTGTTTGGAGTACAATAGAATGGAAAACATAATAGTACATAATGTTTCATGAAAAGTTTGCTTCATTTCTTATTTTTAATATGAATGTGTGTTCCCAGTTGTAATGTAAAATGATTTTATTTTGATCATGGTTAAAAAAATTATAAACATGGTTCCAGTGGAAAAGAAGCATAGAAAGCAAGTACTGTTCTTATGGCTACTGATCCCTCCCTTTATTTTTCTAGCAACTCATTGTCTATTTTATGTATTTTAAGTTTTGGGTTACAAAACATATGTGGTTCTATAAGATTGCAAAGTAGCATGCATGGTGTGAAATATCCCTCCTTTACTGCAGCTCTAGAGAATTCATAGAGGGGAGAAGAATGTGTTCAGTGTCACCAGAGGAAGCCAAGAAACAAGAGGAAATAAGAAGAACCAGAGATAAAGTACCTGCTTTGTTTTAAGAAAAGATATAGACATTTAAATTTTTAAAAATACTAAAAGGGGAGAACAAACCTAAATATGAGTCTACAAAAATTAAGAATAGCCAAAATAAAACTAGAATGCATTATTTTAAGCCAGTAAAAGAAAATTTGATTTACCCAATTGAGGCCAGGCATGGTGGCTCACGCCTGTAATCCCAGCACTTTGGAAGGCCGAGGCGGGTGGATCACAAGGTAAGGAGTTCGAGACCATCCTGGCCAACATGGTGAAACCCCGTCTCTACTAAAAATACAAAAAAAAAATTAGCTGGACGTGCTGGTGCATGCCTGTAATCCCAGCTACTCAGGAGGCTGAGGCAGGAAAATCACTTGAACCAGGGAGTTGGAGGTTGCAGTGAGCTGAGATCATGCCACTGCACTCCAGCCTGGCAACAGAGTGAGACTCCATCTCGAAAACAAACAAACAAAAAAAAAGATTTATCCAACTGAATGAAGAAAAGAGAGAAAAGGGAAACAGAGAGAAATTGTAGTAAATAAAAAAATGCAAAAAATTGGCAGTAATGAGTCCAGATTTAACATTCATTGCAAGAAATGTAAAAAGGTAAATTTACCATTCAGAAAAAAAAAAAAACCTTCAGATTGGACAAAAAAAAAAATTCTAACCACATGGTTACTGCAGAAGTCACACTTAAAAGAATAATAAAGGTTGAAAATAAAGGAGTGGGCAGGGCGCGGTGGCTCACGCCTGTAATCCCAGCACTTTGGGAGGCCGAGGCGGGTAGATCATGAGGTCGGGAGATCGAGAACATCCTGGCTAACACAGTGAAACCCCGTCTCTACTAAAAATACAAAAAATTAGCTGCGTGTGGTGGCGGGCGCCTGTAGTCCCAGCTACTCGGGTGGCTGAGGCAGGAGAACGGTGTGAACCCAGGAGGCGGAGCTTGCAGTGAGCCGAGGTCGAGCCACTGCACTCCAGCCTGGGCAACAGAACGAGACTCCATCTCAAAAAAAGAAAATGCCATAAAACACAAAGGGGATGTTATATACTCATAAAAAGAAAACATATCAAGAAGGTTTAACTATCATTAACATATATACATACACCTAAACGTAGACACTTGTAATATATATAACAATAACTAGCAATGTTAACAAGCCTCTCTCCAAAACCCATAGCTAAAGCAAATAAAGAAATGATCAGTTATAACAGAATTTAAACCAATATTTGACCAAAACCTAAAATCAGTCATCATAGAATGAACTGCTAGAACACAAGAATTAAATCTCAAATGGTTTCAATAAAATGTAATTAGTATTTCACTTTTATTATGAAAAATTATACTTTAATATTAAATGTCTAAAATAATTTCTTAACTTTATCAGCACTAGATTGCTCTTGCACTGACTATTATACACAATTGTGAGATGAAATAGATATTCAATGTATTAGTTTCCTAAAGCTGCTGCAACAAAGTACCACAGACGGGGTAGCTTAAAACAACAGAAATATATTCTCTCACAGTTCTGGAGGTCACAGGTCTGAAATCAAGATGTCAGCAGGGCCATGATCCCCATGAAGGCTTTAGAGGAGAATCCTCCTTGACTCTCTCCTAGCTTCTGGTAGTTGCCAGCAATCGTTGGCATTCTTTGGCTTGTAATATAATTGCATCACTCCAATCTCTGCCTCCATCTTCATGTGGCCATCTTGTCTCTGTGGGTATATGTATGTCTTCAAACAGCCCTCTTTATAAAGACACCAGTCATCAGGCCACCCTAACTCAGTGTGACCTCATCTTTAATTATATCTGCATAGACGCTATGTATAAATAAAGTCACGATCCGAGGTTCTGGGTGGACATGGATTTTTGGAGGGACACTATTCAACCCAGTACAGTTAGTTACAATCAACATTGGTGGAGAAGCAAGGTGATTTTGGGCTAGCTCATCTTGTACAGAGCATTGTTGTTGATGATGTCTTCTCAAGGTCTTAAGCCTTCCTTCCTATCTAATGCAACTGAATTAGACAAATAATTATTTTATTTTTAACTCTATTATTCTGCTTTGTATTTTATTTAAATTTTTCTAAAGTTTAGCTCAAAAAAGATATAATGTTCTTCCTAACGTTATCTTCTTAATGGACTGTATTAGTCTATATTATAAAGACATACCCCAGACTGGGTAATTTATAAAGAAAAAGAGGTTTAATGGACTCACAGTTCCACATGGCTGGGGAAGCCCCACAATCATGGTGGAAGGTGAAAGAGGAGAAAGCCACGTCTTACATGGCAGCAGGCAAGAGGGTATGTGCAGGGGAACTCCCCTTTATAAAACCATCAGATCTCGTGATGCTTATTCACTATCATGAAAACAGCATAGGGAAAACCCATCCCCATAATTCAATTACCTCCCAACAGGCCCCTCCCATGACACATGGGGATTATTACAACTCAAGGTGAGATTTGCGTGGGGACACAGAGCCAAACCATATCATGCATTAACGTATAATATTTGGATTAAATACTACCAATCTATTTTCTTATTTACTCAATTATTTGGAATGCCTTAATAATTTATTTTGTATATAAAATTAGTAGCTTTCACAATCGTCAGTTATTATCACATCATTGACTTTATTCAATAATAAATATGCAATTATAGCTCAACCAGCTGTTAGAATTTCAATACATAAAGCACATAAGGAGGTAATTTTCTTACAGTTCATATCAATATCTGACCTGTATTTTAAAGGGAACAAATTAAAAACAAATCTAAACAATGTGCCAAATTTATATAATAGATGTGGTTATTAGATGTGAGAGTAACTTGAGTGATTGGAAATCATTTATCCCAAAATTCAGAGTTGATAGCAACTATGTTTAGATAGGCATTCTACCATTTGGGCTTCCCAAAAGCTGAAGTCAAAGTCGAAATGGAATTGTGGATTATGGCAGAAGTGAACTTTGGTGCATATACAGCATATATTTATGTTTATGAAGTAGGCAGAAAATACGTAGGCTTTTTTTTTTTTTTTTTTTTTTGAGACGGAGTCTCGCTCTGTCGCCCAGGCTGGAGTGCAGTGGCATGATCTCGGCTCAATGCAAGCTCCGCCTCCCGGGTTCACGCCATTCTCCTGCCTCACCCTCCCGAGTAGCTGGGACTACAGGCGCCCGCTACCATGACCGGCTGATTTTTTGTATCTCTAGTAGAGACAGGGTTTCACCATGTTAGCCAGGATGGTCTCAATCTCCTGACCTCGTGATCCGCCCGCCTCGGCCTCCCAAAGTGCTGGGATTACAGGCGTGAGCCACCGCGCCCGGCCTTACGTATGCTTTTTTATCACATTTGGAACAAAAGTTGACCATGTTCTAGGCCAAACAGAAGCCTTAATACATTCCAAAGAATCTACATCTTATGTGTACAGCTTTCTCTAATCATAAGACTAGAAAATTAGTCATCAGCTGGGCACAGTGGCTAGTGCCTGTAATCGCAGCAATTTGGGAGGCTGAGGCAGGCAGATTGCTTGAGCCTAGGAGTTCAAGACTAGCCTGGGCAACATAGTGAGGCCCTGTCTCTACAAAAAATATAAAATAAAATAAAAAAAGAAAATTAGTCGTCAATAATAAAAGATAGTTTAACTGATCCCATATGTCTGGACCTTAAAGAGAGTATTATTAAATAATATCTGAGTTAAGATTTCATGGGATGTTAGGAAATACTAACATCTGACAATATTAAAATCACTATAGAACAAATACATGGTATATAGCTAAAATGAATTATAGATGTGGATTATAACTGTAGTGTCTATGTATATATATGCTCACATATATACATATACATACAAACATACATATATGTGGAATATTGGACACAGAATTCAATTCAAAAAATTAAAAATCTCATAAAAATACACTGAAAATCAATGAAAAACAGGATATTGATAAAGTAAAAAACTGATCCTTTGAAAAGATTTATATGAGAGAAAGAGGATTTTTCTTAAAAGAAATACAAAATAGAAAAGGAAAGGATCCTAAATACCCTTGCCATTTGGATTCTGCTTAGATTCTACCAAAAGGAGACACTCATGGCAGATTAGGAATTAGGAAGAAGGTAGAGACCATTCTGCTGCTAGGGCAGCATGCAGCAGCATGCAGCAGCAGCAGCAGCAGCAATGGTGGCAGCAGCAAGCAAGCAACCAAGGATTCCTGGAACGACATGTTTGGTTCCCTTGACAGCAGTGGCAACAGCATATGACAGTATGTGACCCTGGATACTTGAGACCTTCTGAAGAGTGGGGGCTCATAGAAGCGTGGCAGTCAGCAGATGACCAGGGTCTCCAGAGGTGGCTACATAGCAGTGCTGAGACACAGGAGTGTAGAGGCCAAAGAGCACTGGCTCCTGGGCTATTCCACCTTCTCCATTTCCACTCTCCAGTCCTTCCAATACCAGAGAATCACCAACCTGACTCTCTGTAAAATTCCTCTCTGTTGTCATATCTGAAGTGGCTTCTGTTTTCCTGATCTGCTGCTGTCTAATACAGAAGATGAAGCCCCTAGAGGGAGTACACATCAACATTCATCTTCCTGCTGCTACTTTTGTTAGGATTGTTGAGGGGGTGGGATGGGGCAGAAATGGGAGAAGGCTAGAGTTGACATCATTTTAGTGAATACAATTTTCCTAAAACCTTAACTTTCTGAGGTGGCGTTAGACCTGGCAGTAGCTGACTCCACACCGTGTGATCTGTCACTACATGCTATCATCAGCCCTGGACCGTAAGCCAAGAAATTTGGATTTATATCCAAACTCTGTCATTGCAGTGTTCTAGGATGCTACACAGGCTACTAGTTCAGGCTTCAGCTGCTCAGGTATAAGAAAAGAAGCTAAGATTGTGATCTCCAGATTCTTCTGGGACAATGAGAAGATTGTGACTTTCAAAATCCAAAGACCTGAGTTCAAATTCCACCTCAACCCTTTACTGTCATTGTAATCTAGTGCAAGTTACTAAATTTCTCTAAAGTCCAGTTTTCTCAGGAAGATTTTTCTGAGAAAGATAATAACCACCTCACTACATGGTAGGTGTTCAACTTCTGAATGTCTTTCCCAAGATTCAATATTTTAAAAAACTATTACTTTATATAATAATAACTTGTACTAATTTTGACAATACATTGTTATCAGTAAAGCAGGTCTTCAAATAAACTCATTTCATTGTAAGATTGATGAGGAAAATATCAATTCCAAGCTGGGGATTGTCTGCAATTGTCTGTGTGGAGTTGGACATTTTCCTTATGTCTGCATGGGTTTTCTCCAGGTACTCCAGTTTCCTCTTACATCCCAAAGATGTGCATGTTAGGTAAATTGGTATGTCTAGATGGTCCCAATCTGAGAGTGTGTGTGTGTGAGAGAGAGAGAGAGAGAGAGACAGAGAGAGAGAGAGAGAGAGAGAGAGAGAGAGAGAGAGAGAGAGAGAAAGAAAGAAGGAAAGAAAGAAGGAAGGAAGGAAGGAAGGAAGGAAGGAAGGAAGGAAGGAAGGAAGGAAAGAAGGAAAGAAGAAAGAAAGAAAGAAAGAAAGAAAGAAAGAAAGAAAGAAAGAAAGAAAGAAAGAAAGAAAAGAAAAGAAAGAAAGAAACACACACCCTGTGATGGAATGGCATCCTGGCCAGATTTGGATCCCACCTTGCTTCCTGAGCTACTGGGATAGGCTCCAGCCACGCACGACCCTGAACTAGAATAATTGTGGAGAAGTTGAAAGCATTCCTCCTAAGAAATGGAACACGACTAGGATGCCCACTCTCACCATTCCTATTCAGCATAGTACTAGAAGTCTTAGCCAGGGCAATCAGGCAAGAGAAAGAAATAAAAGGCCTCCAAATTGGAAAATAGAAAATGAAATTATCTCTGTTCAGTGATGATATGATCTCATATATAGAAAACTCTAAAGACTCCACAAAAAACTCTTAGATTTGATAAATGAATTCAGTAAAGTTTCAGGATACAAAATCAATGTGCAAAAATTAGTAGTGTTTCTATACACCAAGAATAATCAAGTTGAAACCCAAACCAAGAAGGCAATCCCACTTACAATAGCTACAAATAAAATAAAATACTTAGGAATATATTTAACCGAGGAGGTGAAAATTCTCTACAAGGAAAACTATAAAACAATGATGATGAAAGTAGTTGTAGATGACACAAACAAACAGAAAAATGTCTCAAGCTCATGGATTGGAAGAATTAATATTGTTAAAATTTAAAAAAATTGTCCATATTGCCCAAAGTAATCTACAGATTCAATGCAATCCCTATCAAAATACCAATGTCATTTTTCACAGAATTAGAAAAAAAATCCTTAAATTTGTACAGATCCCCCAAAAAGGCTCAAATAGCCAAAAAAAAGTCCTAAGCAAAAAGAACAAAGCTGGAGGAATCACATTACCTCACTTCAAATTATGCTACATGGCTATAGTAACCAAAACAGCACAGCACTATTTAATAGACACATAGACCAATGGAACAGAATAGAGAACCCAGAAATAAAGCCACATATGCACAGCTGACTGATCTTTGACAAGGTCGACAAAAACATACACTGAGGAAAGGATACCCTTTTCAATAAATGGTGCTGGGAAAATTTGATTGCCATATGTGGAATGATGCTGTACCACTGTCTCTCATCATATGCAAAAATTAACTCAAGATGGATTAAAGACTTAAGTGTAAGGCCCCAGACTAAAAATACCGGAAGAAAACCTAGGGAAAACTCTCCTAAACATTGGTATAGGCAAAGAATTCATGACTAAGACTCAAAAGCATGGGCAACAAAAACAAAATAGACAAATGGGACTTTGCTTCTGCACAGCAAAAGAAATAATCAACAGAGTGAACAGGCAACCTGCAGAATGGGAGAAAATATTTGCAAACTATGCATCCAACAGGGGACTAAACTTCAGAATTTACAAAAAACTCAAACAACTCAGCAACAACAAAATTAAAAATCCAATAAAAAGTGGGCAAAGGGCATGAAAAAATATTTTTTAACAGAAGACATACAAATGGCCAACAAGCATATGAAAAAAAATGTTCAACACACTAATCATCAGAGAAATGCAAATTAAAGCCCCAGTGATGTATCATCTTACACCAGTCAGAATAGTTATATTAAAAAGTCAAAAAATAACAGATGTTGGTGAGGCCACAGAGAAAAGGGAATGCTTATACACTGTGAGTAGGAATGTAAGTTAGTACAACCTCTATGAAAAACAATATGGCTATTTCTCAAATAACTAAAAATAGAACTACCATTAGATCCAGTAATCCCATAACTTGGTATCTACCAAAAGGAAAAGAAATCATTATATAAACAAGATACCTGCACTCATATGTTTATTCCACTACTATTCACAATAGCAAAGATATGGAGTCGACTTAAGTTTCCACCAATGGATGGTTGGATAAAGAAAAAGATTACATATACAGCATGGAATGCTGTGCAGCCATAAAAGGAACGAGATCATGTCTTTCGTGGGAACATGGATGGAGCTGGAGGCTATTATTCTTAGCAAACTAACTCAGAAACACAAAACCAAATGCCACATGTTCTCACTTATAAGTGGGAGCTAAATGATGAGAACTTATGAACACAAAGAAGGAAACAACAGACACTGGGGCCTACTTGAGGGTGGAGGCTGGGAGGAGGGAGAGGAGCAGGAAAAATAAGTATTGGGTACTAGGCTTAGTACCTGAGTGATGAAATAATCTGTACAGCAAACCCCTATGACAGAGGTTTACCTATATAACAAACCTTCACTTGTACCTCCAAACCTAAAATAAAAGTTAAAAAAAGAAAATGTGGTATATACACATAATTGAATACTACTCAGCCAAAAATAAAGAATGAAATTATGTCTTTTGCAACAACATGGATGGAACTGGAGATCGTTGTCTTAAATGAAACAACTCAGAAACATAAAATGAAATACCACATGTTCTCACAGATAAGTGGAAGCTAAATAATGTGTACACGTGGACATAGAGTGTAGAATGATAGACACTGGATACTCCAAATGGTGGGGAGCAGCAGGGGAGATGGGTGATGAGAAATTACTTCATGGGTATAGTTTACATTATTCTGGCGATGGATACACTGAAAGCCAAGACTTCACCGCTACACAATATATCCATGTAACAAAACAGCACTTGTATCCCTTAAATTTAGGCAAATAAAAATTATCTTATTTGTTTTTATTCATCTTTCTTAAATGTATCTATAGCTCACATTTATTTCACTGTTTAATATTGGAACTGTTTTGGGTCTTTATTTAGAGGTTTGGTGATGTTTTTGTGACCAAAAATATGTTGTAGGAACTTATTCTTGTTTATGTCAATTTAAAACTGGTTTCGTTATACTATACTGTTTCACTTAAAGTCGAAGTTTCCAAGAACATATCAACAACGTGAAGTAAAAACTGTACTATTATTCAATTCTTACTTCATTATTAAACTTCACATTGCACATATCTATCTCATCTCCCTTAGTAGACTAGATTTCTTGAGATTAGGATTATACAAGGCATTTTTACTTTATTTAGAGTAATCAACCCTCTCGGTTTGCCTCGGACAGAGGAAGTTCCCATATATGGGCCTTTCAGTGCTAAGACCAGGGAAGTCCCTAGTAAGTCACATGTGTGGTTCACTCTGCTTTACATCAACCTTCATATTTAGTTAAATGCCTAATAAAGTTAATGGATGAATTTTTCTTCCCCACTTCAATTTTAATCACTGATTTTATTTCAGTTTATCATTACTTAAATGGGGCAACAAATCATAAAGAAGTGTAATTAATGACAGTAATAATTGAGTTATAGCTATTTCCTATTTTAAAATTTCAGTTTTGTTCATAATATATCTGCCTTATTTTACTAATATTTGTGATGAAAGATTGTTAATAAGAAAGTGATATTCTCCACTTATACACTGCTGTTGGGAATGTAAATTAGTACAGTCTCTATCGGAAACAGTATGGAAGTGTCTCAAAGAACTAAAAGTAGATCTACCATTCAATCTAGTAATCCCACTACTGGATACCTACCCAAAGAAAAAGAAGTACTATATCGAAAAGACAGCTTCATGTGTATGTTTGCCACAGTACAATTCACAATTGCAAATACATGGAATAAACCTAAGTGCCCATCAACTGATGAGTGGATAAAGAAAATGTGATATAGATACAGATATAGATAGATATGTATCATTGAATACCGCTCAGCCAGACAAAAGAATGAAATAATGTCTTTTGCAGCAACTTGGATGGAGCTGGAGGCCACGATTCTAAGTGAAGTAACTCAAGAATGGAAAACCAAATATCACATGTTCTCACTTATGGGCAGGAACTTAGTTGTGGGTATGCAAAGACATACAGAGTGGTACAAAGGACTTTGGATACTCAGAAGGGGGAAGGGTAGGAGTGGGGCGAGGGATGAAAAACTACCTATTGGGTACAGTGTACACTACTCAGGTGATATGAATACTAAAATCTGAAACTTCACCCCTATACAATTCATCCATGTAACCAAAAACCACCTGCACCCCAAAGCTATTAAAATAAAGAAATTTAAAATAATAATAATAATAATAATAAATACTTCCCCCACTTTATGGAAAAATAAGTGGTATTCTCAATCATACAGTCTAAATGGTGGTTTGCTCCTGAAGTTCCGGGACTATGTGAATTATTTTCAAACTATATAAAACATGCTGTAAAGATAAAGCCCCAAAGCAACATAAGAATGAATTTTGAAAAATAAGTTTAAATTATTGTGACTTTCTTGCAAAATTTAGACTTCTGAGTTCCCTCTCTAAGTACTTTTTTCCTCCAAGAATACAATTCTTAAAATTTTAAAACTGGTTAGGCAATTTGGGATTCCTCTGGGATTTCGATGCCAAAGCCTCCACTGACATTTTGAGGAGTTAATGGTTATAATTACTTTGCCTGTAGCAATATCACTGCCTTTAAAATAAAAGCCTCAGGACATTTTTTAATGTATTAGATTACATTCTATTCAAAAGGACAGGATTTACTCTACAGAAAAATGTACTAAGAGTACACTGATCTTTCTTCCCAAAGTCTCTATTTTTCTAACATGAATTTAAAACTATTATCACAGATTTATGAAAAAATTTATTCCACTAATCCTCCGTTTTTTAAAAATCAAAGTTCCCCTAGTATGTCAACTTTTATTTTTATTTTTATTTTTCAATCAGTCACTATTCTTTGTGGTACAAAGAATAGTGCTCCTTTGGTAAGATGGGGGTAGAAATGCCCCAGACTCTGTCAGATGAGACTTGGGACACTTGGTCACAGCTGATAAATAACAACAGGGAGACCAATGTTTCCCTGCAGTGGCCAATGGCATTGTAGCATAGCACCATAACTTCTGCATAGAAAAGAAGCCAAACACCATGGTAAATGTGGCCCTTAGGCTACACAGAGCTCCCCACACAGAGCAAAGAAGCAGAATTTATTGCCCAGAAAGGGGTAATCATGAATAAAAATGGCATAGCCCAGGAGCATTTAGGTACTTGAATAATTAGAGTTGGTCTGGGAATGGGCTGCATAGTGGCTGACATATGGGATGATGTGAAATGTTCCGGAAAGGGTAGAACACATATTACATGACCATTTCAGACAGGAAGTGATACTTGTCTCAAGTCCTAAAGTAACTTGGTCAAAACACAAAAAGAAGAACTCAGATTTGCTGATAGCTAATCTAGTGCTCTTCCTACTGTGACATGCTGCCTGAAATTCTACATTAGTATTCTGTTTTTTAGAAGTGTCTACTGATAAAATGCAAGTATTCCTGAGAAGGATATAACTTAAACCTACCATTAGTTATTACAGAAAGTTATGTTCAGGAAGTCAAGAGCTTCCGGTAAGTTGCACTATCAGGTTTTTTCTAATGATAGAACTGGGCAGTTTTAATGGTAGAAAAAGAGGATCTGAGGACAGCACCAGGGGCTTCCCAGGAATAAGACTAAGGGACGAGAAATGCTCTGGTGAGTCAGGGAATCCTAAATTTCTCCTTGGACCTGGGAGGAGAAGGCACTGTAAGCATGAAAGCAGAGCCACAGCAAACTGAGCCTTTCACGCAATTTCATCCAAGATCAGCCCAGATCCTCATTCTGCAAGAAACAAAGACTGTGGGTAAGAGAAGATGGGAAGGAGTCAGAGATAGCAACCATGAGGGTTTTCTCCAAGGTGGATTGGTCACTAGAACAGACTGAGGCCATCTCTGTTGGAGAAGGCCTTCACATCAATCAGTACTGCAACTCTAAGACAGACTGGTACCCTGATTTCATTCCTCCTCTCCAATCATGGGCTTAGTTCCTTTCCAATTCTTTTCCCTCACTGCACCGTTCTGCCAGCACTTTGTTTTCACACCAATGGATAGGTGTGTGTGTGCGTGTGTGTGTGTGTGTGCATGTGGCAGAGAGAGAAATAAAGTAACATAGGAAATGCCTAGTATGTTCCAGCTGCTCTGTGAGATGCATCATATACACATAACTTCACTTTATCATCACAAGACTTTACCATCACTTAGAGGCCAGTGTGGTGGAAAGCATTGTTCTTATAAAGAAACTGAGGAAACTGAGGCTCAGGGAGGCTAAGCAATTTTCCCCAGGTCGCAGAGTTAATCACTGGCATAGCCAGGATTTGTATCTAAAACTGTCTGATTCCAAATTTGATTTTCATCCTCCCACACTGCATTGACATAATTAGGATTCTTATTTCTTTAAAAAAATTAGAGTCTCTATTTTTTCAAGACTGTTAAATATACAGTACATTATTATGTTCCAATGCATAAAGATTTTCAATCAATAATATCCATTTCACACCAGAGATGTGGTATTGTATACTGGAAAGAGGGTTAGCATGGGAGAGTGAAATTCGAAGCTGTGACCTCAGCTGCTAAATCTTGAAAGCCATTTAAGCTCCCTGTGACTCTGATTAATTATCATCAAAAAATTAGAATGCAATATTTCCATAACATGACATAAGCAAATGTAAAGAGCCTTGTAAATTGTACACCATTATGCAAAAAGAAAATAATAATAAAAGTAAAATGAGGGCAACCACTCAAACATTCATCAGCTGGTGAGTGGATTAAAAAAAACTGTGGTACAACTCTACAATGAGATACTGTTAAGCAATTAAAAAGAACAAACTACTAATACATGCAACAACATAGATGAATCTCAAATGCATTATGCTAAGTGAAAAAAGGCAAACTCTAAGGCCATATACTGTATGATTCCATTGATATGACATTCTGAGAAAAGCAAAACTGTCATGACAGAAAACAGATTAGTGGTTGCCAAGGACTGGAGGTAGGAGAAAGGGTTGAGTACAAAGGAGAGTAAAATAACTTTAGGATTGATGGAAATATACTATAGCTAAATTGTGGTGGTGGTTATATGACTATATGTGTTTGTCAGAGTATTCAGAATTGTATACATAAAAATGTGAATTATACCTCAATGAACCAGAATTTTTTAAAAAAAAAAAAGTAGAAGAGGTTGCCAAACACTTAATTCTAACTAGTTATAAAATTCTGATTTGATTATTTTGAGGAACCATTGCACCCTGATACACAAGATGCTTTAGTTCCTTTGGAACAAATGTTTGCTCCGAGTTAGACAGCATCTTCGTGATCATGAATGATTAATATGGCCTCCTGCTCAAAGATCTTTGCAGATTCTTTGCTGAGAGCCATATTCTCAGTCAGCTTCTTTTTAAAGCAATCTCTGTTTGGCAAAGGTTGTACCTTTAACTTGATGCTTCAAAAGCTTTCCAAGCTGAACCGCTTTCAAAATGCAGGATGCAGCCAGGCACAAGCTCCTCCTGGCATCTTGTAATATGGGAAGAAGGGACCTTGTTATCTCCCGAAGAGAATATCCAAGAGCTCAGCCATAATTACCCGGCTCTGGAGTCTGGCTTGCCCTTCCTTAATGCTAAGCAGGCTGCTGCTGAATCAGAAGAAAGCCTATAGAGGCTTTTCTATTTGAAATGGCAAAAATTTCCAGGGTAGGTATTCAACTGACATTAGCAGGGCTTCCCATCTCAAAATCAATTTGCAACATTTCAGTTTTGAAAGGTAAAGGCCAAAGGGATAAGAGCTAGGTTTTTAGACAACAGAACTACATTACCTTTCTGATCTGAAGTATATTTTTAAAAAATAACACACATACTCTGATTGAGGATTTCCATTTTTTTTGTTTTAATTTGGGAAATCTATTTCAATTTTTTCTACATGGCTTTCAAATACTTATTTTTGAAAGTCTTGATAATGGTAATTATTGAAGCTATGAATGTAAAACCCCCAACCATCAGACATTCTTAAATAAAACAGTATTTTCATTAGATTTCTAATCTGTACCTTTTTTCAATTCAGCAAGGAAATAAAGCCGTTAGATATTCAAATAAGTATAAGGGAAGCCCCAATCTTAAACCTTGTGAGTCTTCTGATTAGCCACTGCAACAATCTTGAAGCTGAAGACAATAAATTTCCTTTTACTTTTGTAATCCTTTTTCATCCCTACATTTGACCAGTTTCTTGCACATTAATTTCATGTGACGAGGGAGCCCCATTTTTTACAGTAGAGAGAATTCCTTTTCATTCCTGTGGAATGCTCTTCAAATAATTTTGCTAATTCCCCCAGGCACATCCCATGCAACTGGCAATCTCAAAAATGCAAAGCTTCCATCAGAGAGGACTTTGCCAGGCACACAGGCAGCTTTAAGACTCAACCAAGCATTTAGACAGTGTTCCCACTCTGGAGAAATGACTGATTGGATGGATTAAATGGGCTTCCGAAGTGATTTCCAAACGGCTATAAAAAAAAAAAAGAAGGCTAATTAAATATAGTCATCGAGAGCAGTACTTAACTCGTCAAGTTCTTGTGTTATACATTCTTCTCAAAGAAGGCATGTGCTCTGGATTTCTCAATAAAAACAGGAAAATGAAAAAGAGTGTAAATGTCCAGTAACATTTAGCAAAGGTTTAGCAAACAATGGGACATCAACCAAAAGGAATGCTATGTGGTCATTTAAAATAATAATTAGGAAAACTTTAGGAATATAGGGAGATCTTATACTACACTAAAGGAAAAAGAAGACTGCTAGGTGGTGTGCTCATTACAATTATAATCCTGTAAAAATGTATGCTTGTGAACAATTAGAATCTAATAAAATATACAGAAATTGTAATCGTTCTGTTTAAATGAGGGGTATATGAGTGAGTCCTATATTTTTTAAATTTTTCTCAATGCTGTGATTATATCCTTTTTTAATTTAAACAATGTTTTTCTTCTGCACTCTTCTTACTGGAGATAGGAATACGCATTGTGACTTTACGTGAGGCATTCTGATCACCATGAATTCAATCCAAGCTGCAGTGTTGCCTAGCAACAGGATACTTTTCCCGCAGTGAAATTCCCCAGTAGCAGAAACCTGTGAAGTATCTCCTGAGGAATTCCCTACCTTAAGTGCACCCCATACTCTTATTACCCTGTTCTCATATTCCACTGCTTTGGGGAAATTTCATAATATAATCATGTGGGAATATTAAAATTAGGAGGGCTGCATTTTAAAATCCATAGCCCTGACTGTTAACCTCTCTGCCTTCAAGCAGGAGAATAGAGTGAAGGACACTTCTAGATTTCTTCCACTCTCTAATACTCCCCCAGATAAGAGCAAGGAAGGAAAATGGTGAGAGCTTTGATTTCTAAATTTTATGGATGACAGCTTGACATGGCTCTAATCAGATGTAATGTTTCCTCTTGTTTTATTAAGAGTTTCTCTTTTTAGATATAATGACATAATTTACATACTACAAAATTCATCCTTTTAAAGTGTACAGTTCAGTGGTTTTTAGTATATTTACAGAGTTGTACAACCATCACCACAATCAATTTTAGAACATTTTTATCACCTCATAAAGAAACTTTGTACCAATTAGCATTCACTCCTCATTTCTTCTCAGCCCTCCCCTCGACCAGGCAGCCATCAATCTACTCTCTGTCTCTGTGGATTTGCCTATTCTGGACAGTTTATATAATGGAACCACACAGTATGTGGTCTTTTATGTCTGGCTTCTTTCACTAAGTATAATGTTTTCCAGGTTTATCCACATTGTAGCATGTATCAGGACTGCCTTTCTTTTTATTGCTGAATAATGTTCTATTTACATATGTATACCACAATCTGCTTATACAATTATCCATTGATGGATATTTGGACTATTTCCACTTTTTGGCTATTACGAATAATGCTGCTATGAACACTTGTGCACAGGCTTTTGTATGGACACATTTTATTTCTCTTGGCAATATACCTAAGGATGGGATTGCTGGGTTATATGGTAACTCTATGTTTAACACTTTGAGGAAATGTCAAACTGTTTTCCAAAGTGGCTGTGCCATTTTACATCCCCACCAGCAGTGTATAAGGGTTCCAATTCCTCCACACCCTCACCAACCCCTGCTATGTCTGTCCTTTATGATAACAGCCGTCCTAGTGGTTATGCAGTGTTATCTTATGGTTTTGATTTGCATTTCCATGATGGCTAATGATGTTAAACATCTTGGCATGTACTTACTGACCATTTGTGTGTCTTCTTTGGAGAAATGTCTCTTCAAATGCTTTGCCCATTTCTAAATTGGGTTATGTGTCTCTATTGCTAAGTTGCTTTTTCTTTCTTTTTTTCTTATGATATTCATTGTGGAGATGTGCTGACATAAAGGCCTTCACAGGTCCCAAAACACTCAGCCCAAGAAAGTTACCACTGGTTAAGGAGGAGAAGAGAGGGCAGTCACTGTACATCAGTGTCAGTGAATGGAGACACGGCAGGCCCGAGGGAATGCTCCCACTGAACACACTCAGATCTGTCTGCTATCCTCACATCACCCCTGAAATTAGAATCTTGCTATTCAGCTTCCACAAAGCACAATGCCTGCTCTTGCTCTCAAACAGCACTGGGAGTGGAGGATGGGGGGAGACTCTCTACTGTAAAAAGAAAAGAATGTCCATTGCCACCTCCCACCATCCCTTCATCCCCTTCCCCACCGTGGTCAGATTCTGTGCCTCTGCCTGTTATATTGCCCACTATTTAACTCACTATTTGCAACACAGCAGTCTGACAAATGATTGACGAATAAATGAATGTCAAAACTTCTTTCTTCATTTAAGTAACAGTGGATTGGGACAGGAGGCCCATAATTTCTGCTATTGCTTGCAAATTCCCTATGTGCTTCATTTTTAACACATATTTAACACTTAATGCTCTGAGCATTTTGCAAGAATTAATTTAATCCTCACAATTCTGTGATGTAGGCAATGTCATTATCTCCATTTCACAGACAAAGAAACTGAAGCATAGAGAGGCAAATTAACCTGCCCAAGGCAAACAGCTGGTGGATAGTGACGCCAGATTCAGACTCATCCTGGCTCTTGTCTGTGCTCTCAATAGCCGTGTGAAGCTCCCTCACCACTTTTGTTTTAATATATGCCCCTTATAGGATTGTGGAGGAAAGAAAGGCAATGTTGGAGCCTATGTCATGTGAAGGTGTCTCTTCACAAAAGATAGGTTCAAAAAAGTCATCCAAAGCACATTTTTGATAAATAAAATCATATTAAACACACAATTTGTTTTAAAATTTTAAGGGAACCCTGCCATGAATCTATTCCCCAAAAAAGAATTCTGTGGTGACACAATGTCGACTTTTTTTCTGTATGTTAGCACTTGCTTTCCTTAGGGCAAGTTATGCATTTATTGTTGATAAAATGGTAGTCCCTAATTTGATTTGGCACATAGCCAGCATTCTCTAAATGTCGAATGGCATTGAATGAATCAATGAAGTAATTAATGTGCAGTGCAGAAAGCTGCAGGTTCCTTGTCTGGACCAGTCCTCCCTCAGAGAAATAACTCATCCAGGCCTAGCAGGCTCTTGGGGACAAGTGTAATGTCCTTGCCCCACTCCCCTCCCCAGAGGAGCAAATCAGCATTTTGCCATTATCATCATAGAGGTAATGATAAGTATAATAAGAAAGTATAAGGTTTATAGAGGATTTGCTATGTGATAGACACTGTTCCACGTCATGGTGTGGATAAATTCAAGAATGATGTACCCCTGATCCTCCCCGTGTTTCCATTCTGTCAAATGTATTCCAACTTTACTTGTCTCTCTATTTGACTAGTTAGTCCATTTCTGGGTCTATGGCAAGCAGAGTGGCAGGTTAAACCTAAGGTATGTAATTCAGAATGGTGTTTCCTCAAGGCAACCCAGGGTAGCACAGCTGAAGTCCACATGGGAATTGTGGCCAAAAGGGACTAAGACCAGAATAAAGCTGGGCCTTCATTCCAGTCAAAGACCACAAGGAACACTCCTGATGTTGAACAAGCTGGATTTATTACTCATTGCAGTGAGAGAAAATGTACACCCTGGGGAACCACAGGGCATCTCAGTAAGAGGATGTTAGAAAAGACTTGTTTTAGGATTGGGGCTGCTAGGTGCTTTGGGGAGGGTTTAAGGAAGTAGTGCTTTGCTCTGAAATGGAAAGGAAACAGGAGTAATTCTATGATTGAATGTCTTAATAAATCTTATCTAGAAGGAAGGCTAAAATGAGGCTAAATCTGTGATTGGCAAAGAAGCAGCAGTCATTTATATTAACTTGGAGAGAGACATATTTGATCATTTATGTGGCTTGGACAATGTTTGTTTTGTCTGTGTTTAAACTTGGTTATGAAATGGTCTTGTTTTTGTTTTGATCCACTATGGCCATCGGGCAGCCTCACCTGATGTTGGTGTTCTAGGAAATAGTTTATGTTCAACAAGAAAACACCAAGGCTAAGCTGTTAGTGCCAGGCCAGCTCAAAGTAATGCCAAAGACCAGCTGATGGTACCAGGCCAGCTCCCAAAAGGCAGAGGCTGCTTTTATTTTGTCCTCAGGGAAAATATGCAAAGCGTCAGATCAAAAGAGTAAGGGTAATATGCACTGCTGTCCTACACAAGCTCCACTTCTCTCTTCTTTCTTTCTTTCTTTCTTTTTTAATTTCTGTAGAGATAGGGTGTCGCTATGTTGCCCAGGTTGGTCTTAAACTCTTGGCCTAAAGTGATCCTTCTGCCTCTGCCTCTCTTCTTCTTTTTTTTTATTTTATTTTATTATTATTATACTTTAAGTCTTAGGGTGCATGTGCAAAATGTGCAGGTTAGTTACATATGTATACATGTGCCATTCTGGTGTGCTGCACCCATTAACTCGTCATTTAGCATTAGGTATATCTCCTAATGCTATCCCTCCCCCCTCCCCCCACCCCACAACAGTCCCCAGAGTGTGATGTTCCCCTTCTTGTGTCCATGTGTTTTCATTGTTCAATTCCCACCTATGAGTGAGAACATGCGGTGTTTGGTTTTTTGTCCTTGCGATAGTTTACTGAGAATGATGATTTCCAATTTCATCCATGTCCCTACAAAGGACATGAACTCATCCTTTTTTATGACTGCATAGTATTCCATGGTGTATATGTGCCATATTTTCTTAATCCAGTCTATCATTGTTGGACGTTTGGGTTGGTTCCAAGTCTTTGCTATTGTGAATAGTGCCGCAATAAACATACGTGTGCATGTGTCTTTATAGCAGCATGATTTATAGTCCTTTGGGTATATACCCAGTAATGGGATGGCTGGGTCAAATGGTATTTCTAGTTCTAGATGGACATGAACAGACCCTTCTCAAAAGAAGACATTTATGCAGCCAAAAAACACATGAAATAATGCTCACCATCACTGGCCATCAGAGAAATGCAAATCAAAACCACAATGAGATACCATCTCACACCAGTTAGAATGGCAATCATTAAAAAGTCAGGAAACAACAGGTGCTGGAGAGGATGTGGAGAAATAGGAGCACTTTTACACTGTTGGTGGGACTGTAAACTAGTTCAACCATTGTGGAAGTCAGTGTGGCGATTCCTCAGGGATCTAGAACTTAGACTCCCACACAATAATAGTGGGAGACTTTAACACCCCACTGTCAACATTAGACAGATCAACGAGACAGAAAGTTAACAAAGATACCCAGGAATTGAACTCAGCTCTGCACCAAGCGGACCTAATAGACATCTACAGAACTCTCCACCCCAAATCAACAGAATATACATTTTTTTCAGCACCACACCACACCTATTCCAAAATTAACCACATAGTTGGAAGTAAAGCTCTCCTCAGCAAATGTAAAAGAACAGAAATTATAACAAACTGTCTCTCAGACCACAGTGCAATCAAACTAGAACTCAGGATTAAGAAACTCACTCAAAACCACTCAACTACATGGAAACTGAACAACCTGCTCCTGAATGACTACTGGGTACATAACGAAATGAAGGCAGAAATAAAGATGTTCTTTGAAACCAATGAGAGCAAAGACACAACATACCAGAATGTCTGGGACACATTCAAAGCAGTGTGTAGAGGGAAATTCATAGCACTAAATGCCCACAAGAGAAAGCAGGAAAGATCCAAAATTGACACCCTAACATCACAATTAAAAGAACTAGAAAAGCAAGAGCAAACACATTCAAAAGCTAGCAGAAGGCAAGAAATAACTAAAATCAGAGCAGAACTGAAGGAAATAGAGACACAAAAAACCCTTCAAAAAATTAGTGAATCCAGGAGTTGATTTTTTGACAGGATCAACAAAATTGATAGAACGCTAGCAAGACTAATAAAGAAGAAAAGAGAGAAGAATCAAATAGATGCAATAAAAAATGATAAAGGGGATATCACCACCGATCCCACAGAAATACAAACTACCATCAGAGAATACCACGAACACCTCTACGCAAATAAACTAGAAAATCTAGAAGAAATGGATAAATTCCTCGACACATACACCCTCCCAAGACTAAACCAGGAAGAAGTTGACTCTCTGAATAGACAAATAACAGGCTCTGAAATTGTGGCAATAATCAATAGCTTACCAACAAAAAGGAGTCCAGGACCAGATGGATTCACAGCCGAATTCCACCAGAGGTACAAGGAGGAACTGGTACCATTCCTTCTGAAACTATTCCAATCAATAGAAGAAGAGGGAATCCTCCCTAACTCATTTGATGAGGCCAGCATCATCCTGATACCAAAGCCGGGCAGAGACACAACCAAAAAAGAGAATTTTAGACCAATATCCTTGATGAACATTGATGCAAAAATCCTCAATAAAATACTGGCAGACTGAATCCAGCAGCACATCAAAAAGCTTATCCACCATGATCAAGTGGGCTTCATCCCTGGGATGCAAGGCTGGTTCAACATACGCAAATCAATAAATGTAATCCAGCATATAAACGGAACCAAAGACAAAAACCATATGATTATCTCAATAGATGCAGAAAAGGCCTTTAACAAAATTCAACAATGCTTCATGCTAAAAACTCTCAATAAATTAGGTATTGATGGGACGTATCTCTAATAAGAGCTATCTATGCATCCAATATATTCTTAAAAGGTGGTAAGAATTAAAAGAAAAGATGAAAAGTCAGGGTGGTAGCCAAAAGAGAGAGGACAGGATGAAGTGAAGTGCAAAACTAAAGTACATGGTGTAGGATTTTTCTCTTGTGTGACAGCTTAATGGGATTGCAGGCTACCCAACTTGAATGTTACGGGCAACAACCTCAACTTTTCCCTTATCACTTCTCTAGATTAATCAATGCCCTTGACATCCTGTTGCATCTACTTTATGTAACCGCAGCTTACATAGATAAATTCCTCCAATTGTTTCTCCACCCCAGATCGTAGGCTGCCAAGCACAGCTAGAGGTAAGAAGTGTTTCATTGTAATGAAAGGCTGTACTAAAAATCTAGACTTCATAATATCTATATGAGGACCTCATCGTCTAAAAATATTTTATGTTGTAATTATTATTTTAAATTGAAAAATTAATATTTCCTTCTTTTAAAATAAAAAGTCAACAGAAATGAAAAGGTAAAATAAAATGTGAAGATTAGTTGTATCTTTCTAGACTATTTTTTTCAGACACATGCATATATGGATGCAGGTGCAAATATACACACAAACACATACACATGTATTCACACACAGAGATTTAGTTTTGATTTGATTTTTATGAAAAAAGCAAAGATACTCTGTGCTGAATGAAAAAATATAAATTACTAACATCCAGTATGTATCCTTTCAGATATATCCTATACATATACAAATCTTTAAAATTATAGATATGCCTATATAAGCACACAGTTTTGTTAGGTGATATTTTTCCAAAAGAAAAATGGGCATGCCATAAATATTATTATTTTCACTTTATTCACTTTAACATAATATTGCTATCTCTTCTCACCAACACCTATCTGTGCCATCACCTAACACAGACTTCCATCTAAATAGGATCCCATCGTGGGGTTGTACTGTATTTTTTTTCAGTCAATTGTCTATTGACTAGGAATTTATGTTATTTCCAATTTGATGTTTGTTTTAAACAGTTCTTCAGTGAACAACCTCACATATTCACTTCTGTACATATGTGAAATTATTTCTACATGGCAAATTCACAGAAGAGGAACTTCTGCATCAAAGTGAAAACACTGGTTAAATTTCAAAAGATAATGCCAAATTGGCCTCCAAAGATAGCTAGCACCTTACACTGTCACCAAAAGTGTCTGAGATGCCAATTTCCCTGATTAACAGTACTACCAACTTCCTCCCAACTGCTTCTTGACCAATATTTTACTCATCCCTAAACACATCTTTAACCTATTCACTGAAATTGCAATTCTAAACTTGTAAATTTTCTCAGGTCTCCAACCAACTGTCTTCCTCTCAGCAAATAGCCTTTTACCTGTCTAAAAACATGGGGCTCACCCAACAAGTTCTGCCTTATCAACTCGTCTCCCTTCATCTTCATTCATCGTCCACTTGTTATGCTAAATCATAGACAGAGCCAAGTCTACCTTGCCAAGGCTGGCTCTTTCAGCAGTGCCGGCAGACCTATCCTTCTCTTGCTCTTCTCTCCAGGATCATTACAATTGCCTCCTAACTGGGTTCTCTTACCCAGGCTGTCCCATCTCATCCAGCCTCTATATGGCTGGGACACTTCAAATTATGTCAACCTCCTGCTAAAAATCCTGTCTTGGCTTCCTAATGCCTATGGAAGAGCATATAATCAACAGGCCCTATTCTTTCCTCTCTGTGCCTTTGCTCATTTTATTCCTTTTTCCTAGAGTGTACTTCTTTCTGCTTCCAATTGAAGCTTTCCACAGGTTTCAAGGCCCAACTCAAAAGCCTCTCCTCCCTGAAGGTTCTCCAAAACAACGAGGTAAAATTGGCCCATTCTTATGTTCCCAGAGCCTACATTTCTGCTTTACTTTTGGCTGTTACCCTATCACACTTTTGAATATGTACATACATATTGTATGTACATACAATTGTTGTCTATGTACATACATATTGTATGTACATACAATTGTTGTCTATGTACATACATATTCATCTACACAGCTGTAAGATGTATTTCTTTTAGCTGAGAACCATAATTTTTTTATACTGCAGCACCTGGCACAGTGAAACTGCATAAAAATCTCTCAAAACTGTTTTGTCAATATGTTTATTAGTGCCACAAAAATAGAAAGAACACTAGCATTTGTTCAATATCAGACATCCAGATGGTGTATCATATAAATAAAACCTATTTGATAAAATCACAAAGAAATATTTAAATAAGGAATTATTATCTTTTGTGAAAAAAGCAAATGATCTCATATGTTTTTAATACTACAACCTGTAAAATATTATATCCATCTCTTCCTGTCTCCATCATGACATACTGTTTTTCCTCCAAATCTCATGAATGGGATACTCAAAACCTGTATACATACACGCATAATGGCTTAGCCTTATAAACAAGAACCAGAATCTTGATAACACAGCACAACTTCCTTGGCTTTCTAGGCCCCCACCCTCACTACATCTCCAATTAGGATTAAAGAAAAGATAATAGAGACAATGCTGAGTTTGGTGATGAGAAACCAAAGAGAGCCTCCTAGTCAGATCATCTCTTACTAGGGAATAAATGCGATCACTCACTTCATTTTGTTGAGGGGAAAATATAAATAATTACCACATCTAAACACATTAATTTTTTCTCCAGCCTTATTGAGGTTTAATTGACAAATAAAAATTATATATACTTAAGGGGTGTGTGTGTGTGTGTGTGTGTGTGTGTGTGTGTGTGTGTGTGTTTGTGTGGTGAAAACCCTTAGGATCTACTTTCTTAGTAAATTTCAAGTATACCATACGGTATTATTAACTATAGTCACTATGCTGTACATTAAGTCCCCAGAACATATTAATCTTATAACTGAAACTTTGTACCCTTTGACTGGCATCTCCACGTTATCCCTTCTCCCCAACTCCTGGAAACCATTGTTCTAATCTCTACCTCTATGAATTCATCTTTTTTAGATTCCACATATAAGTAGGATTATACAGTATTTGTCCTTCTGTGTCTGGCTTATTTCACTTAGCATAATGTCCTCCAGGTTCATCCATGTTGTTGCAAATAGCAGGATTTCTGTCTTTTCAATGCTGAATAATATTTGTGTGGTGTGTGTGTGTCATAATTTATTTATCCATTCATCTGTCAATGGACATTTAGGTTGATTCCATACCTTGGCTATTGTGAATAGTGTGGCAATAAACATGAGAGTGCAGGTATCTCTTTTAAGACATTGATTTCATTTCCTTCGGATGTATATCCAGTAGTGGGATTGCTGGATCATGTAGTGGTTTTATTGTTAATTTTTAAAGGAGCCTCCATGTTGTTAAAACCACTTAATTGTTGACCCCGCTAATTATTCCAAATTTAACATTTTAATACTTGATACATGTAAAATTAGAAAAGACATGTTCATAATGGAAACATAATGAAAAGTGGTAAACAATAATATTTACCATTTATTGAGTAGTTACTATAGACCAGACACACTGGGCCAGTATTTTACATATAGTCATTCATTTAATCCTATCCAAGTGTAGTAGATAAACTCACACACATATTGTAAATCAGGAAAATGAGGTTTAGAAAGAGTAAGTAATTCGTCCAAGGACATGTAACTACTAAGTGCCAGGATACAAACACAAATATGCCTCTGACCCAAGCCCGTGCTCTTTGTCACTACTCTTTACCACTAGACACCATGAAGAAGGCCCATCCTTTTGTAAAGCACTCTGAAAGAAAAAAAAGAAAAGAAAAAAATTTCAAAAATACACATGTGTCTCGTCTGTTTGAGCCCAACAAATCAGGGATTTATTCTAAGAAAATAATCTTTCTTCCCACTCCAACATCACTGCTGTTGAAGAATTTGTAATGTTCTTTCAATACTCCATTTGTTCCACTCTATTTCCCAGCCCCTTCCAGACTAGTTCTGATTGATGGCTGTGAACAGGGGGACATGTGTCATTCCCAGGTAGAAGCAGTGAAAGGTCTGTGCATAATTTTCCAGTCTCTTCTCTTTTTCCTAGACACATGTTCCAGTCGACAGCTATCATATTGTGAAAACTCCATCAGCCTGGGTGCTCCTCCCTCCAGTGACTAATGATGAATGTGTAGCATGAACAAGAGACAAGTCATTATTGCATTAAGCCACTAGTACTTGGGGATCAACTTGTTATTGAAACATAAGCTAGCCCATCCTTGCTAATATACCTGCCAAATAACAAATAATTTTAAATAGAAAAAAAAACTTTATGTACAAGGGTTTTTATTGCAGCATTAAAAAGAATTAAGATCATAAATGTCCAAAACACAGCCAAATAAGCTATTATGCAACTTAACAGATAGTGAGGCTGCTTATTAAAATAAATGCAACAGTTTTGATATAATATTAAAGGGAGAAAGCAAATTACAAACTGTTATCTTCTTTGACATGCGTACTAAAATAAAGCACCCATACTGAACTATAAAGAGACCTGGAAAAACAGTAAAACCAGTGTTTTGATAAATGGTGGAATAGAAAGGCAGGAGCAACATTGTCATTTTATGATGTTGTTTATAAAAGAATGTATTAAAATTTATCCTTTTCCCATACCCATCACATCAAATTAATACTTCCCTTTAACTAATACATTTCTTAAGGTAAAACATTAGAAAACCAAAATAGAACTGTTGAAGTAAAGGAAAGCTTTAAGTTCATAATACTGGTTTTAACATAGTTATAATTAATAAAAAGAAATCAGATACTAGCAAGTTAAACATTACTTTCTCTTCATTTGGCCAATTGAGAAACTATTTCTCCAGATCAACTCTCTCCTTACTTTCATGGCCTTGCTGAGGTAAACCTATATCATTTACTATGTTGTTCTTAACATTTCTGTTCTATACTATAGTCTCCTGACCTACTAAGGAAGTCCCAACTATAAATAACACAGCAAACATCTCAGGAAAAAGTTAATTAAAGGCAGAAATTTAATTTAATCAGTGGAGGAAAAACACCCTAGCTTGTAAATATAAAGATATGATTTTAGGATCTAGTCACTGTATTAGTCCATTTTCACACTGCTGATAAAGACATACCTAAGACTGGGCAATTTACAAAAGAAAGAGGTTCAATGCACTTACAGTTCCACGTGGCTGGAGAAGCCTCACAATCATGGTGGAAGGTGAAAGCCATGTCTCACATGGTGGCAGACAAGAGAAGAAGAGGGCTTGTGCAGGGAAACTCTCATTCTTAAAACCATCGGATATCATGAGACTTACCATCATGAAAACAGTATGGGAGAAGCTGCCCCCATGATTCAATTATCTCCCACCAGGTCCCTCCCACAACACAACACGTGAGAATTCAAGATGAGATTTGAGTGGGGATACAGCCAAACCATATCAGTCACTATTCCTGTTTCCCTCCCAAAAATGCTGTCTAACTTGTTTTTGGCATTTGAAAGAGGATTGAAATTCTCACTTGTTGGAATCTTCTTTGTAAGCCACCAAAAAGAATGACAGACCCAAGAGATGCCACAGAGGGAATGATGAGCACAAGACTTGCTTCTGATGTACTTCCATAGATCTCTTGCAGCATGACTCACTTGCAAGTGAAATTGCTTCAGAGAGCATCACCTGTTTAATTATAACTGCTATTTCCAAGCTTCACCATAAGACAAATGCCTTAACAATGACTCTTATCCCAAATGGAATGTATTACAATATTGGCTTCTTATAGCTAGTATCCCAGTACTGCTTGGGCCATTTGGAATTGGAGGCAAACTTTGCTTTTCCCTAAGATCAAAATGCTTACTGTGGAATTCACAGGTATTCTTGACACAGAGCTCTAGATTTGGCTTTAGTGAGTCAATAGAAAAAACTAATAATAACTAAATAAAAACAAGTCTACTACAGTGCCATTGGGATTTAGTTACCCACAGATAAGCTTGTGAAAAGAAAGAAGTGATGTCTTCAAGATCAATTGTAAGGACCAACTTCAAAGAAAATAAATCACAAATAGAAAACACCCTCTGGAGAAAATCAAGAAAATGCCACCTATTGACATAATCATTTCACCAGCGACAATGCTTTACTTTCAGAGAAGTTGACTGAAGAAATCCACATATTCATCTAACATTGGAACCTAGATTAAAATGTCAATAAAAATTATTCCCAGTGACACTGAAATACTGCTCAAAATATAATGTTTTAATAATATCAGAAATGGAAGATATAATGTTAACAGTTGAAAATGCTTGACATTGTTATCCATGTTTAAGATGATTATCTAGAAAAAAATATTTAAACACCTGATGAATTTTACTCATTTGAAATAAGAGGTTTGTGGCAGACAGTATTGATTGCCTACCCAGAAAACATGTTCTCCTTCATCTTTCTAAGAAAACCTCAATTAGAGTCCTTTGCCTAGACGCTGTTAAGAAATAGTATTCCAAACGTGGAAATAAGGCAAAATAATGACTGTCTGTCTTTCAATGACTAACAGGCCCAGCCAAAGAGTATTTATCTAATTATCTAAGGAAATGTACTTTTGTTTGACTTACAATTTACTATTGATTCATTAAAGATAGATATTAACTTGTAGAACATTAATAAGTTGCAAGGAATTCCTGTCTGGTAAAAAAAAAAAAAAATTATCCCTAAGGTTACAGTTTTCTAGTCCTGTAAGGTAATAATCAGTTTTGTATCTATGTTGGCAATTGCATTTCAGCATTCTTTTTTTTCCTTGATGCTATCTGTCACTCTCTTCTAACTACCTTTGAACTAGCTTTACTACTTTGATGGCACCCTCATTAAGGAGTTATCTTTGACATGTGCTCATCCTATGTTTGTATGAGAGTCATATTTTTAACCATTTAAAATTTAGAGTTTGACAGTATCCAGCTCCAGGGAATTAATTCTGATTAATCTCAGACATTTGTGGCATTCCCATATCACTTTGTCAGTAATTGTTCTAGGGGTGAGGATATGGACCAATTCTGATCAATAAAACATAAAGAAAATTTTGCTATGGCCTTTGAAGAATAATTGTTTCCTCTGAAAGAGAGATAATGAAGAGAAAGCCTCTTTTTCTACCACTTTCCATATGTTTTGCTTAAGATGGTGTTATACAAAACTGAGGCAGCCATGCCCATAGTATTCACTGAATACACTGAAGATGACAGAGCAGATGAATCCAAGGAAGACCTGAGTCCTTGACACCATCACAGGGCTGCATAACTAACCCTGAACCACCTAGTTCTGTGCTTCTGTTTAAGTAAACAACTAAGTCTTTTTTTTATTATTATTATTATACTGTAAGTTTTAGGGTACATGTGCACAAAGTGCAGGTAAGTTACATATGTATACATGTGCCATGCTGATGTGCCGCACCCATTAACTCATCATTTAGCATTAGGTATATCTCCTAATGCTATCCCTCCCCCCTCCCCCCTCCCCCCACCCCACAACAGTCCCCAGAGTGTGATGTTCCCCTTCCTGTGTCCATGTGTTTTCATTGTTCAATTCCCACCTATGAGTGAGAATATGTGGTGTTTGGTTTTTTGTTCTCGCGATAGTTTACTGAGAATGATGATTTCCAATTTCATCCATGTCCCTACAAAGGACATGAACTCATCATTTTTTATGACTGCATAGTATTCCATGGTGTATATGCGCCACATTTTCTTAATCCAGTCTATCGTTGTTGGACATTTGGGTTGGTTCCAAGTCTTTGCTATTGTGAATAGTGCCGCAATAAACATACGTGTGCATGTGTCTTTATAACAGCATGATTTATAGTCCTTTGGGTATATACCCAGTAATGGGATGGCTGAGTCAAATGGTATTTCTAGTTCTAGATCCCTGAGGAATCACCACACTGACTTCCACAAGGGTTGAACTAGTTTACACTCCCACCAACAGTGTAAAAGTGTTCCTATTTCTCCGCATCCTCTCCAGCACCTGTTGTTTCCTGACTTTTGAATGATTGCCATTCTAACTGGTGTGAGATGGTATCTCATTGTGGTTTTGATTTGCATTTCTCTGATGGCCAGTGATGGTGAGCATTTTTTCATGTGTTTTTTGGCTGCATAAATGTCTTCTTTTGAGAAGTGTCTGTTCATGTCCTTTGCCCACTTTTTGATGGGGTTGTTTGTTTTTTTCTTGTAAATTTGTTTGAGTTCATTGTAGATTCTGGATATTAGCCCTTTTTCAGATGAGTAGGCTGCAAAAATTTTCTCCCATTTTGTAAGTTGCCTGTTCACTCTGATGGTAGTTTCTTTTGCTGTGCAGAAGCTCTTTAGTTTAATTAGATCCCATTTGTCAATTTTGGCTTTTGTTGCCATTGCTTTTGGTGTTTTAGACATGAAGTCCTTGCCCATGCCTATGTCCTGAATGGTAATGCCTAGGTTTTCTTCTAGGGTTTTTATGGTTTTAGGTCTAACGTTTAAGTCTTTAAACCATCTTGAATTAATTTTTGTATAAGGTGTAAGGAAGGGATCCAGTTTCAGCTTTCTACATATGGCTAGCCAGTTTTCCCAGCACCATTTATTAAATAGGGAATCCTTTCCCCATTGCTCGTTTTTCTCAGATTTGTCAAAGATCAGATAGTTGTAAATATGCGGCATTATTTCTGAGGGCTCTGTTCTGTTCCATTGATCTACATCTCTGTTTTGGTACCAGTACCATGCTGTTTTGGTTACTGTAGCCTTGTAGTATAGTTTGAAGTCAGGGAGCGTGATGCCTCCAGCTTTGTTCTTCTGGCTTAGGATTGACTTGGCGATGCGAGCTCTTTTTTGGTTCCGTATGAACTTTAAAGTAGTTTTTTCCAATTCTGTGAAGAAAGTCATTGGTAGCTTGATGGGGATGGCATTGAATCTATAAATTACCTTGGGCAGTATGGCCATTTTCACGATATTGATTCTTCCTACCCATGAGCATGGAATGTTCTTCCATTTGTTTGTATCCTCTTTTATTTCATTGAGCAGTGGTTTGTAGTTCTCCTTGAAGAGGTCCTTCACGTCCCTTGTAAGTTGGATTCCTAGGTATTTTATTCTCTTTGAAGCAATTGTGAATGGGAGTTCACTCATGATTTGGCTCTCTGTTTGTCCGCTATTGGTGTATAAGAATGCTTGTGATTTTTGTACATTGATTTTGTATCCTGAGATTTTGCTGAAGTTGCTTATCAGCTTAAGGAGATTTTGGGCTGAGACAATGGGATTTTCTAGATATACAATCATGTCGTCTGCAAACAGGGACAATTTGAGTTCCTCTTTTCCTAATTGAATACCCTTTATTTCCTTCTCCTGCCTAATTGCCCTGGCCAGAACTTCCAACACTATGTTGAATGGGAGTGGTGAGAGAGGGCATCCCTGTCTTGTGCCAGTTTTCAAAGGGAATGCTTCCAGTTTTTGCCCACTCAGTATGATATTGGCTGTGGGTTTGTCATAGATAGCTCTTATTATTTTGAGATACGTGCCATCAATAGCTAATTTATTGAGAGTTTTTAGCATGAAGTGTTATTGAATTTTGTCAAAGGCCTTTTCTGCATCTTTTGAGATAATCATGTGGTTTTTGTCTTTGGTTCTGTTTATATGCTGGAGAGACACAACATATCAGAATCTCTGGGACACATTCAAAGCAGTGTGTAGAGGGAAATTTATAGCACTAAATGCCCACAAGAGAAAGCAGGAAAGATCCAAAATTGACACCCTAACATCACAATTAAAAGAACTAGAAAAGCAAGAGCAAACACATTCAAAAGCTAGCAGAAGGCAAGAAATAACTAAAATCAGAGCAGAACTGAAGGAAATAGAGACACAAAAAGCCCTTCAAAAAATTAATGAATCCAGGAGTTGGTTTTTTGAAAGGATCAACAAAATTGATAGACCACTAGCAAGACTAATAAAGAAGAAAAGAGAGAAGAATCAAATAGACGCAATAAAAAATGATAAAGGGGATATCACCACTGATCCCACAGAAATACAAACTACCATCAGAGAATACTACAAACACCTCTACGCAAATAAACTAGAAAATCTAGAAGAAATGGATAAATTCCTCGACACATACCTCCTCCCAAGACTAAACCAGGAAGAAGTCGACTCTCTGAATAGATCAATAACAGGCTCTGAAATTGTGGCAATGATCAATAGCTTACCAACCAAAAAGAGTCCAGGACCAGATGGATTCACAGCCGAATTCTACCAGAGGTACAAGGAGGAACTGGTACCATTCCTTCTGAAACTATTCCAATCAATAGAAAAAGAGGGAATCCTCCCTAACTCATTTGATGAGGCCAGCATCATCCTGATACCAAAGCCGGGCAGAGACACAACCAAAAAAGAGAATTTTAGACCAATATCCTTGATGAACATCGATGCAAAAATCCTCAATAAAATACTGGCAAACCGAATCCAGCAGCACATCAAAAAGCTTATCCACCATGATCAAGTGGGCTTCATCCCTGGGATGCAAGGCTGATTCAATAAACAACTAAGTCTTATTGGTAGTAGATATTATTAGACAAATGTTCCATTACTTGCAGCTAAAAGCACTTCTAACCAATATAGAAAGTAACAGGGAAAAAAATGAAATACAAAGATATATTATTTGCTTTCTTAGTTGGTACAAAATAATTTCCAGAAATCTTTTGGTTTTAACTTTATACTACCCCCAGAATGCAATCAGAAAATATGGAGGGATATTTGAATCTACTGCACTATGGTGGTGGGCTGGGGCTGACAGGTGTAAGAGTAGAGTGAGAATAAACTATTACCCAGAAATATGCTTGGCCCATTTCAAGAAGGATATTTCTGAATCATTTCTTAAATTATGAATACTTATTTAATGTGGTATATATACACCATGGAGTACTACTCAGCCATAAAACAGAATGAAATAAAAGCCTTTGCAGCAACTTGGATGGAGCTGGTGGCCATTATTCTAAGTGAAGTAACTCAAGAATGGAAAACCAAATATCATATGTTCTCACTTATAAGTGGGAGCTAAGCTATGAGGATGCAAAGGCATAAAAATGATATAATGGACTTTGGGGACTTGGCAGGGTAAGGGTAGGAGGGTTGAGGGATAAAAGACTACATATTGGGTGCAGCATACACTGTTCAGGTGATGGGTGCACCAAAATCTCAGAAATCACCACTAAGGAACTATCTATGTAACCAAAAGCCACCTGTACCCCCAAAATTGTTAAAAATTTTTAAAATAAAATTTTCGTTTAAAGAAAAATAAAGAATACTTACTTGATTGGCTAGCTTTCCAGCCCCAATTATCTAGGTCTACACTGTCAATAGCTGCTCTACAACTCTTCTAGTCTGAATGCAGACCTTGCAAGCCCTCATTTGTATTATTGTTGTTTCAACAAAAGTGCCTTCGCTGGGTACTTTATGAACATTGACATCCCATTATTTTAGTTAGCTCAGAGTTTGCAGATGTAAATTATATTATACTCTCTGTAATAAACTTAATTACAGAAGCTTCTGATGACTGTGATTTACTTCTCAGGGGTGACAGAACTCTTTGAATTTCCCAGCAACGGACACACATTCTGATTAAACAATGAATATACTCTATATTTTTGAACACTGCGAACCTGAAAGTATCTTTACAAAAGCATCAAATAATTTTGATTAATGCTTAAGTAAAATATATACAGAGGTAGAAAAAGTCTTTGAGAGATCATCCAATACTACTCTTGGTTTAAATGTGAAGAGAGCAAGGTCCAGGGGAGTGTTACCATTGATCATTTTAAAAATGCAAGTGTTTTCATGTTTTCTAAACCAATCGGAAATAAGAGCAGCTTTAAGAAACGTTTAGGGGGAGATTTTTTTCTTTTTCTTTTTCTTTTCCTTTTTTAAAAATTTTTATTATTAGTTCTGGGGTACATGTGCAAGACATGCAGGTTTGTTACATAGAGTAACGTGTGTCAAGGTGGTTTGCTGCACCTATCAACCCATCACATAAGTATTAAGCCCAGCATGCACTAGCTATTTTTCCTGATGCTCTCCATCCCCCCACCAACCTGCCTAGAGGTCCCAGTGTGTGTTGTTCCCCTCCCTGTATCCATGTGTTCTCATTGTTCAGCTCCCAGTTATAGGTGAAAACATGTGGTGTTTGGTTTTGTGTTCCTGTGTTAGTTTGTTGAAGGTAATGGCTTCCAGCTCCATCCATGTCCCTGCAAAGGACATGATCTCCTTCCTTTGTATCATTGTATAGTATTCCATGGTGTATATGTACCACCTTGCCTTTATCCAGTCTATCGTTGTTGGGCATTTGGGTTGATTCCATGTCTTTGCCGTCGTGAATAGTGCTGCAGTGAACATACGCGCGCATGTATCTTTCTAACAGAACAATTTATATTCCTTTGGGTATATACCCATTAATGGGATGGGTGGGTCAAATGATATTTCTGCCTCTAGGTCTTTGAGGAATCACCACACCATCTTCCACAATGGTTGAACTAATTTACGTTCCCACCAACAGTGTAAAAGCATTTCTATTTCTCTGCAATCTCACCAGCATCTGTTGTTTTTTGAGTTTTTGATAATCATCATTCTGACTGGCATGAGATGGTATCTAATTGTGGTTTCGATCTGCATTTCTCTAATGATCAGTATGTTGAGCTTTTTTTCATGTTTGTTGGCTACATGAATGTCTTCTTCTGAGAAGTGTCTGTTCATGTCCTTTGCCCACTTTTTAATGGGGTTGTTTTATTCTTGTACATTTGTTTGAGTTCCTTGTAGACTCTGGATATTAGACCTTTGTCAGATGGATAGATTGCAAAAATTTTCTCCCACTCTGTTGGTTGCCTGTTCACTCTGTTGATAGTTTCTTTTAGTGTGCAGAAGGTCCTTAGTTTAATTAGATCCCATTTATCAATTTTTGCTTTTGTTGCAATTGCTTTTTGGGATTTCACCATGAAATCTTTGCCCTTGCCTATGTCCTGAATAGTATTGCCTACATTTTATTCTAGGGTTTTTATAGTTTTGGGTTTTGTATTTAAGTCTTTAATCCATCTTGAGTTCATTTTTGCATAAGGTGTGGGGAAGGGGTCCAGTTTCAATTTTCTGCATATGGAGAGTCAGTTCTCCCAACACCATTTATTAAATAGGGAATCCCTTCCCCATCACTTCTTTTTGTCAGGTTTGTCAAAGATCAGATGGTTGTAGATGTGCAATCTTATTTTTGAGTTCTCAATTCTGTTCCATTGGTCTATCTGTCTGTTTCTGTACCAGTACCATGATGCTTTGGTTATTGTAGCTTTATGGTATAGTTCGAAGTTCAGTAGTGTAATGCCTCCAGCTTTGTTCTCTTTGCTTAGTATTGTCTTGGCTATATGAGCCCTTTATTAGTTCCATATGAATTTTAAACTAGTTTTTTCTAATTCTGTGAAGAATGTCAATGGTAGTTTAATGGGAATAGCATTGAATCTATAAATTTCTTTGGGCAGTATGGCCATTTTCACAATATTGATTCTCCCTATCCATGAGCATGGAATATTTTTCCGTTTGTTTGTGTCCTCTCTGATTTCCTTGAGCAGTGGTTTATAGTTCTTGTTGAAGAGGTCCTTCACTTCCCTTGTTAGCTGTATTCCTAGGTATTTTATTCTCTTCGCAGCAATTGTGATAGAAGGGAAATAATAGATACCTCTAGAGGTGTCATTCTCAGTACAAACCTAAGACACTCTCTTAGGACTCCCAGAGACCTTTAGGATAAATCTGAGTAGCATTGGGAAGAACCAAGGAAAGTCTGGGAACTATACAGGTGATATTAATCTCATCTATAGACTATAAAATGTATATTATATATGCAAATATGGCTGTTTAAACTGGCTGATACAGGGTTTCATGTCCTGCTCAGAAAGCACTAGAAACATGCTTTCCTTCAACATGACTCCCAATGCCATGACTCCATTTGACAATGGCTAATGTGACACAGATCATCCTTATTTTCCCTGTGGCATCAAACTGAGATAGACACAGTAATAATATCCACATTATGCTTTATCTCATGTTGCTCACTTAGTGGCTAAGTTGCAACTATTCACCCTACTACCCAATTAATCCTTTTGCACAGGATGTTAAACAATATGAAAATATAAGACTCCAATATGTTTTCAATGACCTTAAATTGTACTAAGAGAGATAAGTCATCCCCATAAGGCATTATATGATTAAGTTCATGGGCTACAAAAACTAAAGTAGTGCACCCCACTTGGCTTAATTCTTGGCACAGAAAAACTCACTGTGAGTGTGTGTCTGTGTGTGTATATACTGAGTTTTCTGTGCCAATTAAATTATGTCCAGTAAATAACCTAGAAACGCAAAGAAAAAGAATGTTGTAGGTCAGCTAGTCCCTTGCTACCCAAAGTGTGGCCCCTGGACCAGCAGCACTGACGTCACCTGGGTGGGAGCTTGTTATAAATGCAGAATGGCAGGCCAATCTCAGACCTGCTAATCAATATTCATTTTAACAAGATCCCCCAGGTGATATACATTAAAGTTTAAGATGAGCTGGTCTAGTTGACTTCCTTTATTTGACACATGAAGTTACTAAGATCCAAAGACAGTAAACGATTTGTCTGCCTCTCAGACTTCATACATTTTTCTAAATAATTCAGGAATAAAAGTGACTTTGTTAAGATGTAAAAGAGGTGATACATAACAGGAAGATTCACAAAAACAAAATATTAATGGATGTAGCAGAAAAATTAATATCAACCAAAATATCAAGTATCATTCTTTGTTAGTGGGATTTCTCTTTACCTTCAGTTGTAAGTTGAATCATGGTCAATTGTAATGAGGATATATCTTAAAATATAACTCTTGCTCCTCAGTCCTGTAGTGCATACATCATATAAATGTAGTAAGTTAGAGAGTATCAGACCACAAACTCAGGCATGCATGAAATGGACCTTCATTCTATAATTCGACTTAATTTCGACCTTGAGCCCCTCGCTCTCCCACCAAACCTTAATCTTAAGTAATTTGGTGTCCTTTCCCTTTCTCCTAGGTTATGTCAAAGTTTTGAAGGCTTTTCCAGCATACCAAAAATTCAGGGGGAAAGGAATTGACAAGGGATGTAACAAGATCAGCAGCCACACAAACTCAAATGTCCTCAAACTCCAGGCAGGTACATAATGTGTAAAGCAGGATATGGCAAATTGGACAATTCAGATCCCATATAAAGAGGACAGTTTCTCTTTTAGCCTCACTAGCTGGTTTTAGCTCCAGAATTTCAACATTTAGAGTTATTTATTAGTCAATAGTTCCCCACTTCCGGTCTGGTGTACTCCCTTAGTGCAAGAAAAGCCTGCTTAACTCACCTTCATACCTCAATGTATTCATTCATGGATATTCATTCATTTATTCATTCAACAAATATAAATTGAGCACCCACCATGTCCTAGGCATGTATTAGGCATAAGGAACACAGTTTTTACCGTGATAGAGCTTGCATTCTTAAGTGGGGTGAAACTGGCATTTAACAAATAACAAGTAAATGAATAAGGTAATGACATCTAATGTGTAAAATGAAAAGCCATATTATCACAAGGTTAATGAAAACTTTGGAGTGAGCCTATGCAGCCAGCCTGCCAGAAGTTCCAAGGGTTCAGGTGTGTGATCTGAATCTCTACCCTGATTCAGGCTGTGTTTTGGCATCTTCTAATTTCGTTGTCTACTTAATAGCTCATGGGAGTAATTCTGGGTCCTGTGAATACATAGAGCAGTGGTATTTCCAAGCATTCGCCTGTTAATTGGCACAAATTGTGTCAGCCCGACATGGAGAAATAGGGCCAGAAGAATGTTAGAAACTAAGGCAGCCACCCTTCACCTCATAGTTGCCCTAGACAGGGCAGCCTGCCATTCCTCCACCAGTCCTCACTTTTCCCTTCATAACACTTTTCACCCACTCCCATTCTCAAGAGAATAAGAAATTTAGCCTCCCTTTGGGTGAAAAACAAGGGTGGGAGGAGAATGAGTGCTTGTCTTTAATCAAATCTGAGTAGTCGTAGGTCTTGGTATCATGATATTTACTGTATTTTGTTCAGTAGTTCTTAGTAGCCCCATGGCTTGCCCTTCACCCATATAATCATTGTTAATCATGCCCTAAAAGTATGGTAGAACCAACTTAGAACAAATAGTCACTATTCAACTTGAACTTTAAAATAGAAGTTCTAAACTCCTTAGCTGGGAAAATGGCCTATAAGCCAAAGTGCTTTTGAGCTTCAGCTATAGTATTCCTAGGAGTGGGCTTGCAGAAGCCCAGGTATATACTTTCACTATGGCTTTGTACTTACTTTGTCTTATTTGATGATAAAATAGAGCATGGTTTTCATTGCTAAAGCAACAACAAAACTGAATTCTTTCATTTTGTCTTCAGACAGCTTGAATAATGTTAGAATTGGCTTATCTTTAGCAATTGACATTACATTTATGTTGTGTATGCTGAATACAAGTAGATTTAGGAAAAGGAAGTAGAGAAAAGGAGTTTTTCTCTCATTTAAGATCCTGATTTGAACAAGTATCCAGGGATGGCTCTAGACAAAATAATAAATTGGGTGAAGATTTTTCTTTGAGATATTCCCATATCTCCTATTGAGGAGCTTCTCTTTCCCTTCCTTACTCTTTTTTCACTTTATGTTTCCCCAAAGACTTGTAGTCAAGCCAGGAATCTCATTTCTGAAAATCTCAGCTAAGATTTATACTAATCACCAAGAAAAAGCTGAGTCAGCCACTGTTAGAGGTATTAGCACTCCATCAAGAGCATCACAAAAGACTCAAAGTTTCACAAGAGTCAAAGTCGTGGATAATAATAGCAGCAATATTCATTAATTCAACAAGCATTTATTGTGCACCTAACATATGCCAAGCACTGGACCATGGTGAACAAAACAAAGGTATTGCTTTCATGAAACTTACATTTTAAGAAAACCAAAGCTCATAAATAAATAAGTATATAAGATGATGTTAGGTACCAATAAGTGTCATTAATAAAATAAGGGAAGGTAAGAGACTAGAGGCCAATGGATGGGAGGTAGGACCCAATTTGCACATAGTGACCAATGAAGGCCTGTCTGATGAGAAGACATTTGAGAGGAGACCTGAATAAAATGCAGGAATAAGCCATGTGCAATGTGAATTTCTGGGTTGAGGAGCATTCAGATGAGAGAAATCAGCATATAAAAAGTCTCTCAGCTGGAACATGCTTACGTGGTCAAAAAACAGCAAGAAAATTGTAACCAGATGAAAGTGAGGGATGGAAGATAGCAATAAGAGAGGAGATCAGAGACATCAGCTGAAGCCAAATCACATAGGGTCTTTTAGATCCTGGTAAGGACTTGGGATTTCGTTCAAAGTATGATGGGAAGCCAATATAGGGTTTTGAGTTAAGGGAGTGACAAGACCTGATTTTAGAAAAGATTCTTCAGGCTTCTGTGGGGTGAATAGACTCTAGGCAAGACTGTAAGCAGGAACACCAGTTAGGAAGCCACTGAAACAGTTCAGGGAAGAGATAATTGTGGCTTGGACTAGAAAGATTGACATTTTCAGGTTTGTGATATAATCACATTTGACACTTAATGAACACTCAGTTCCTACGGGTTATACAAACATTATCCTCATAACCACTCTGTGGCATAAGTACCATCATTAGCCCCTGTTTACTAAGGAGAAAAAAATGATTTTTAAAAGAGGATAACTTATCTCATTTTCATCATCTAGCCCTGATTTACCAAGAAGGAATCCAAATTTAAAGAGAGTAAGTAACATATCCAAGGTCACACAAATAACAAATAATAGACCCTGAGTTCGTACAAATTTATCTAACTCAAGGACTCAGAACTGTTTTTGCTCTCAATAAACTATATGGGCCACAATTACTGATGTTGGGCTAATATTTGAGGCAAACTCATTATATTCAGGGTGAGGAAAGAGTACCATCACATATTAACCACAGGCCAGGGAAGAGTAAACAAGGGTAGTTAGTGTTAACTTTAGGACTAGGCAACCTTATCTTTAGGCTGGGCTGCTTAATAGAGGCCCTGGAGTGAGAGATTCTTAGATTCACACAAAATAAGATTTTTGAAGGCCTTTAGAAGCCAATATGGTTTGGGTGTTTTGTCCCCTCCAAATCTCATGTGGAAATGTGATCCCCAGTGTTGGAAGAGGGCACAGTGGGAGGTGTTTGGGTCATGGAGGCAGATCCCTCATGGATGTCATGATGCTGTCCTTGAGATAATGAGTGAGTTCTCACCCTATGAGTTCATGCAAGAGCTGGTTGTTTAAAAGAGCCTAGCATCTCTCTTGCTCTCTCTCTCTCTCACCATGTGACACGCGGTCTCCCCTTCACCTTCTGCTGTGACTGTAAGCTTCCGGAGGCCCTCATCATCCAGCACCATGCTTTGTGTACAGCCTGCCGAACTGTGAGCCAAATAAACCTCTTTTCTTTATAAATTACCTAGTCTCAGGTATTCTTTTATAGCAATGCAAAACTGACTAATATGGAAGCCAAGAAATATATATATTAAAATTAATACAACTTTTAGACTATAGTCTTTTCCTTTTGGCCACAAAGCAGGTGTGTGCAGCTCGAGTCATTCTGATTGCGAAAGGACTGATCTGTGAAGCTTCTAAGTCTTTATGAGAAAAAGAGAAGGTGGGACACATTGGAACATACTTTCTTGATTGGTTCGCCTTAGAAGTCTGAGTGAGAGTTGACTTTAAGAGAACCAGCAGCTGACAGGACTGTTTCACACCAAGTGAGAGTTTAATAAACAAAATCACAATTGGTCCCAGCTTGACTTCAGTGTTTTTGAGAATGACATCCAAGATGGCATAATCACTGAGGAGAAAATCACAGTCTTGTTTGCACTTGGAAATTGCTAGGTTGGTGTCAGCTGTTGTTCACTCATGGTTGAACTTCTATTTCAGAATAGGTAACACAAAGGGAGAGGATGGTGTCATTGGCTTCCCAGGCTATTGAGCAAATAAGACCTCAGGGAAATCTTATTTACAGTTGACCATGTACTCACTACATGTGGTCAACTTCATGTTAAAAATGCTATATAAACCATGGTGAAGGTGGGGAGGGGGGAGGGGGAGGAGAGGAAGAAGCGTGACATTGTCCTTGCCCTCAAGGGGCTTAGAACACTGCAAACACTCAAGGAAAATTACAAATACAAAGGTGTGCCAATTATCAATGTATTGCCTCTCAGTTGCAAATCCACCCTTCTTTCCCCTGCTTTGTGATACTGGAGCTGGACCCTGTAAGTATTTCTCTTTTGCCAGCTGGCTCAGTGCTAGGCACTGGAAGTGCATGGCAGGGCAAAGAGACTTCTATTCCTAATGTGCTTTTCTGGTTTCCTGTCTGCCTGTGCAGCACAGGTGGCCAGGGCCATGCAGATCACTCAGAGGTACTCACCCCTCAGTGAGTTTCAGCAGCACCCATACAGGTAGCCTCTCAGCCACTTTCAGCAGCATTCTCACAGGCAGTTTCCCAGCAAGTTCCGTTAGTAACCTAGAGGACTGCTTCCCAGAGTTTTAGTAGCATTCCTGGGCAACTTCTTGGTGAGTCTCATCAGCATCTCCATGGGTGGCTTCCTGGTGAGTTTAGTTAGTACCTCGGCCAGCAGTGTTTTGCTTGCCAGCCCCTGTCTGCAGTACCTCAGTGAAGTTCACTACTAATCAGTGGGCCACAGCCACACACCCTCAACTGAGGTCTGAATCTCAGCCTTGGTGGGGGCTGAGGGAAGGTCTTCCAAATGTGTTCCTCCCTAGGTATTCCACTTCAACCCTAGAGGTAGTGGCTGCTCCCTATATCTGCTATCTCTGTATTCTTTAGAATTATCCTTGACCTCATAGTAGCTAATCCCATGTTATTAGTTAATAATTCTTTATATTAAACTCTCTGTGTTCTAATTACTGTATGGTTTCTGTTTCCTGACAGAAACCTAGCTGATACAAAAAGTAAGAGAATATAAGTGCAAAACTGGAGGATAATGAAAAGAGATGCTCTAGGAATTCAGAAAGTGCAAAGTTAAATGTGGACTGTTGAGTCAAGAGAGGGCTTCATGGAAGACCTATAACCTGAGTTGGACCCACCCTGACAGGGAAAGAGAGTGTGTGTATATGAGACAGACAGAGAAACAGACAGACAGAAACAGAGAAAGAGAAAGAGATGGAGACACAGAGAGTGACAGAGGGAGACAGAAAAAGAACCAGGGGCCAAATAAAAGGATTCATTTTTAACACAGTGAGAAGTAATTTTATAGTGTCGAAATAGATTCAGAATTGACTAACCAATTAGTTAATTCAACAAATTAAGTGCAGGTTTTCAGCAATGAACAAAATATATGAAAATGTTTGTCCTCATGGGGCTTACATTATAGTGGTGGGCAAAGGGCAAGGCAGCAGAGAAACAATAAAACAATAGACATGATAAGCATGTTAACTGGTAAAATAGAGGCTGGTAAGTGAAATGAAAAAAGAAAAGTCTAGGAGGGAGGATGTAGTTCTTCTTGCTACTATAACAAACTACTACAAATAGTGGCTTAAAACAACACAAACTGTGTTATAGTTAGGAAGTCAGAAGTGCTGAAATCAAGATTTGGACAGGACTGGCATTTCTTCTGGAGGCTTTAGGGCAGATTCATTTCCTTGCCTCTTTCAGTTTCTAGAGGACACCTACACTCCTTGGCTCATGACCTTTTCCTCTTTATTCAAGACTAGCAGCAAGGCAGCATCCTCCAATCTCTCTGCTCTCTGATCTGTTTCCTTGTCACATCTTCTCTGGCTCTGTCCTTCCTGTCCCCCTCTTATAAGAACACTTGTGATTACATCCGACCTACCCAGATAATCCAGTATAATGCCCCCTGTGGGGTATAATCCGGGGGGATAATCCCTTGGGGGGACATTATTCTGCTATCACAGGAGGGTTCCAATTGGTGGTCATGGTAAGCCTCATTGATTAAGGTAAGATTTGAGCAAACCCTTAAGATAAGGGAGTTACCTATAAAGCTATATTTACAGAGAATGTTCTGGTAAAAGATAGCCAGTGCAAAGGCTGTAAGTCCAAAGGATTCCCAGTGTGTTCAAGGAACAAGGATGCCAGCACAGCTGACACAGTGAATCAGAGTACTAAGAGACAAATAAAATCAGAAAGTGGGGAAACCAGGTCATTTGAGGTAAAGGATTCGGGTGGGGACATTGAACAGCGGAGGACAGTGATTTGCCTTACACATTAATGGCTCATTCTGCCTACCATATTGAGAGTAGACTGTAGGAAGGCAGAAGATTAATCAGTAACAACTACTTAGAATGCTGTGTGGAGAAGAATGCTGAGACCAAATTCAGACTCAACAGGAAAGAAGGCCACCACCTACTCACTGTGGGCATGGAAGAAATGAAAACACAGCTGGAGTCTTTTGGCCCAGTATTTTCCATCCCTGTAATGGATATGGGTTTCCTGGAATGTTAGACTAAGGGAGTGTGTTTCATGTATTTTATGAAGAATCATAAAAAAGATTTTGAGCAGAACAGATATGTTAATATGTGTCTAAAAACTGTGCTTTTATTGAGGCAGCAGTAAGAAAAGCATCTCACTGAACTAAAATTCAAATGTGTACGTTTCTCATATTCTTGATACCTCTTGCAATGTATTAATACTTAGTAAAACCTGAAATGTCTAACAACACATGCAGGACTTGTGGTAATGGTTTCTTGGCTGTTGCAATTTTATTTTTCATTGCAAACACCTAACAGTTCAGATGGTTCCCTTTCCTCAATCAACCTGATGCTATTTAAATATAGGGATATGATGCTTGTGGTTAAGACAGAGAGGCTGTTCATCTGGTTTCAAGCTGATCCTCACAACATACCTGCCTGTATGGTGGTCATTAAGGGCTCACCGTCTCCTGTGCAGCTTTACAAACCTAGGAAACTGACTTTATCAAATATTCAAGAAAATCAGTCCTTGGGAAGCAAGATATGGCTACTATACCCAAGTGTTAATTAATTGACTTGAAGTGTGAGGTTGATGACAGTTTTCTACAGAGAAAATTTACTTCTGACAATAACCACTTGAAAGGCTAGACGATTCACTCAACACATAATGAATGAGCAACTACTCTATACCAGACATTGTCATAGGCACTTGAAAAAATCAGTTTTTTTAAAGGTTTCTCCTTTGCATATTTTGAAAGTAGAGCCAACAAGATTTCCTGATAAATTGTATATGAAGAGAAAGAGAAATGAGGGATGAAGTCAAATCTTGGAGAAGGAAAGATGGTCAGTAAGTAAATCTCCATGAAGAGGGTGCTCTTGTTTTGGGCAATGCCATGGGCTCCCTTGGTTGTCTCCAAACCTTCCATCGAAGTCTATTACACAGAACAGCCCTGTGTTAGTTACACGTGGAGAGAAGGAAGGTGAAATGGAAGTACCTGTGCAGGGGCCAAGTGGCAGGAGGCCAGATCATGGCCTCGTGAGTGGGGATCAAGAATTTAGATGGAGTAGGAATTCAGAAAAAGAGATTCCCAGGAAACGAAGTCCCCCCACCTCATCAATCCTTATAAATATTGTGACAGACCCTGGCCATCGTACAATACAGATTTGAGGGCTTGATAAAGTTCACATGGCTTACAAATAAAAGAGGGACTGAAGAAACCTAGAAGACTTGGAACTATTTAGGCGTTCAGAATGCATTGCTTTTTATTAAATAATTATAGATAGAATTATTGTAAGTTAGAAACTAAGATAAGCATGTTAATCCTCATCACAACCTTAGCATATAGGTACTCAAATCTCATAAATGAGAAAATTGGGACCTTGAGAAAGTAAAGCAAATTGCTCACATTCACCTGGCAAGAAAGAGGGAGAAGTCTTAAACCTTAACCCCAGGGTGTTTTCACCCCATAAAATGTACCTTCCTTGGGCTTGGAGTTAATAAAGAACATGCCTATGTGTAATATCTTTTTTATGTGTCTATGTGCCTAGGTTACCTACTGGACACACTTCTGTATATTTTAACCATCATGGTTTCTGATGATTCTCAACAGATTTTTTTCTTTGCTTATAAAACTCTGCATAAGGCCTTCAGCTCTGGTACATTAAACATAAGCAATATGGTGTAAGCTTCAAGGGGCAGGGATTTTCCCTGCTTATTCATTGCCTCTCCAACACCTAGAACAGCTTCTGGCACATAGTAGGTGCTCAACAACTATGTGTTGAATGAACAATTCATAGATCTACTCAGCCATCTGGCTTGCTGTGTATGGCCACAAAATCTAATCCTTGACTGGGAAGGTGAATCAAACAGGACTCAAAAGGGACTCTTCCTCATTTGGAAGACTGAACCTCAGAGGACATACTATCTAGGGAACCAATGTTTTCTGTGTAATTGATAATTCCACTTTCTAAATGAGTATTGGGTTTCATCCAAAAGCCTGTCTAGGATCTCTGCCACTTTATGCATTGGGGAGGAGAGTCCCACCCCCACTTCCTCTGCTGCCCAGATCTATGTTAATTCCTGCTGAACTCCTTTTAGCAATATTCTGTGATCTATACACACTTAGCTCCTGTGTCAGCTTTCTGTTTCAATTCTCTTTGAATTCTAGCATCCTGATTCACTATCCTTCTTCTTACCATTAGCTGCCATCACCATCTGCCATCCAGCCCTCTTAAACTTTCCTCCAGACACTGGCTGCTGGTTGGGCCAGGTCCCTTTAATGTGTCCTCTCTCTCTTTCAAGTGAAATTATCCCACTCTGACCCTCACCATGTCTTCTGGATACCTGGTTCTACCTGGACCACTTTCACAAACCACGTGTTTGGGTTTTTGTTTGTTTGTTCACTTGTTTGTTTTAGCTTTTTGTTGAAACATACATGGAGAAACGTGTACTGATAACACGTGCACAGGATGATAAATTTTCATAAACTGAACACGTCTACATTACCAGCACACAGATCAAGAAAGATAATATTACCAGTATCTCAAAAGCTGCTGTCTTGCTCTTTCCTGTTACTACCCCCACCAAAGGTCACCATCATCCCCACTGCTTTTCCTTCACTCTCTTCCCTTTAATCTCCTATTGATTAATATTTTCAGACATAAGAATTGTTTTGGGGAGGGGAGCTTTTTACACTCTCCTATGAAGTTTCTACTTTAGATACCCTGATTGAAAAGGGGGTTTTCTCATCTCTTGTGTCCTGTGAAATAGGTTCAAAAGCCAATAGAAATAACCACTATTGTTTGTTATTTTTATTATATTGCTTATTATTGCTCATTATTGCTCAGTTTTGCTAAAAACTTCATATGCAAATAACAGTTCAGTCTGTGACAATGTCAAATGGACAAACCAGGAAAAGAACTCATTGCAAAGAGATGATGAAAATTCCATGAATATCGACATACCACAACTTCAGCATATTCAGCCCAAATTTCTGTTATTTCAGAAGTGTTTCCATAAGTTTTACTGATGCCATCAATCCAGTCTAAGGGTGAACATGCATGTTGCTTACAACCACTGAACAGCAATAAGATCAATTTCTCTCTAAGCCAGATTTCATATTGGCTGTAAGTCAGATATCTATAGACATCTGTCTCTGCAACTACACTTGAGCTTGCATATTGAAAAGTAAATGACATTTAAATATTTGTATACATATATGTATATATAATATATGTATATATATATTTGTATATATAATATATGTATATATATATTTGTATTTTTATATCTGTATATCAAGGGATTTGTGAGATTACCTTTGAGAGTATTTTATTTGGTCACCAGTGCTTAGAGCTTCTTAGAAGTTTTATGCCAGGAAGAGTTAATTAAATACAATGCATCCTGGGGCTCAAGAGCTGAAAGCCTAATGAGATCCAATGTTTCATAAGAGACTACTTAAATTGAAACAGTGGCAGAATTATCAAGAAGCTTCTGATAAACCTTGAGCTTGATATGTCCCTCATTTCATTTTTGGTCTGATACAACACACAGCCCATTGCAGTGTACATTTCTGCATTTATAGGTGCCAGAATCTCCTCAGCTCACTTGAGGAAGACAATTTGAGATAAGATTTATTTTGATGGTGTTTTAGATGCTGTTCTGTCTAATAATGATAATGACAGTGTATGGAATCTGGCACAACAGAAGTGCATAAGCTGCTGGGGAGAGAGAGGCCCCAAATTTCATAAGAAAATGCTCATTATCCTTCACCAGCAGCAGATAAAGTTGAAATTTATTCCTACTGGTGGCTTGCGGCCCAAAACACCGACCATTTCAAAGGCGCACAGATTATAGTACTTTGGAAATCACCCAACATGGAAGGGCATGGGAATGTTTTTGCTTTCCAGAGAAAGCCACAGTTCTATGTCTGCTTTAAGTTTTCCAATTGTATCAAGCTCTCCAGGATCAACTGGAGTTTTAGTAGGTAGCATGAGAAAAGACTCAGGAGGGTTCACAGGAACTTTAGGGGAGACAGCAGGAATTGTGAATATGCAGCTGGTAAAGCTCTACATCAGTTGCTCACCCACCCTTTGGCTCCTTTAACAGAGAATAAGATACTTCTTTCTCTGGGATGCAGACAGGATAAAAATTGAGGGCAAGGCCAGACACAGGCACGCCAGGATTGCTCAAATGCCCCTGAGACACTGTATGGGTGGTGCCTCCCTCACATACTTGGGTTTCTGCTACAAACACAGTTTTCAGTGTCCTGGCCTACCAGTCCAATTTATTTAATATGGAAGTGCACTTAATTGAAGTAATGTGTCCTTTACTTCTAACACCACTCAATTTTACTGTAATTGCCTTTTTGGTCTCAGCCTGTGACAGTCAGCTAAGTGTGTAGGAGATTAGAGTTACCGTATTTAGACTTATGCAAATAAATATACACTATAGAGATCAAAAATATAGAATGCCATTGCTGGATAGCAAGTGTGGTTCTTCCCGTTTGCAAATTACAAAGATAGCAGAACATACCTTGTTACCTTTCAAAGCTTTGATACTCTTCGTTCTTAACTTTTAAATTGTATATATAAAACAAATCATTAACCGTAACATCTGTTTAATGAAAAGATCATATCTTATAAAATCAGATCATTTGAGAATCTATAAATAAACTCAATGGCATGTAAATTGCTTAATGGAAGGGAGAAATAGCTTTCTCATTGATTAAAAATGTTTTCTCCTGTCACCTTTAGCCTATTAATAGGCCCGTTTCTGAATTAAAAGCTAAGCTGCACACCATGAGTGCTAGGGACAGAGAGCGCATTTCAGTGTTTCTCAAATTTTAACGTGCATGTAAACCACCTAGAAATTTTGTGAAAATGCAGATTCTGATTCATCAGGAAGAGGTTGGGGCTTGAGATTCCACCTTTCTAACAAAGTCTGGGTGATGCTACTGGTCTGTGGACCCCACTTTGAGTATTAAAGACATAGACAATCCACAACCCCATAAGGAAGCTTCATTCAAGAGCAACGTTCCCACCAGAAATTTGCCCAACCTTTTGATTCACATACGATTTTTTGGTGGTTGTTGCAATTCATTCTCATGATTTTTTTTTTTTACAATTGCATGAAACAGTTACTATATTTGAAATAACAACTGCCAGAGTTTTTGTCTACTAGTTTACCTTTTCCTCTGCTACTTCCCCCCATTCAAACAATAACTGATGCTGTGCCCTCTGACACATAAGAAAGAGGGGACAGGAAAGAAAGTAAGTGGTCTCTTTCTAGATTTGATGATTTCAAGGACCTAAAGCCAGTTCGCTACCTCCCTATCACCCCATCACTCTCTATTTTCTCCTTGTCACTGAAGCCAATGGTTGGCTCTCAATTGTTGCTGTTGCACTTGTAATAGAGTAAAGAGGATCAGGAAGTATTTCTTGTACCCACTACCACTATAATAATCTACTTCAAGGTAAATGGGAAAGTGTATGTTTCCTGTAGAAACTAAGACTGTAGCTTGTTTATTTTGCAAAGAAAGTGTACCTATGTCAAAAGTATACACCTGAAGACACCATCGTGAAACAGACCACAGTAAGAACTGTCAATAGTATATAATAAGGATTTCTCAACCTTGGCACTGCTGACATTCATGGCCGAATGACGTTTTTGTTGTGGAGGCTTTCCTGTGTATTATATAATGTTTAGCAGCATTCCAGCCTCTACCCACTAGATGCCAGTAGCATTCCCCACACCCTCCTCCACCACATGTTGGAACAACCAAAATATCTCCAGATGTTGCCAAATGTCTCTGAAGGACAAACTTACTTCTGTTGAGAACCGCTGGCATACAATAATAATAGCACACACTTAAAGAGTCCTTATCATGCAGCTGACAGGGTTCTAGGTACTTACATGTATTCACACATTTAGTCCTCACTACAGTTCTATGAGGTAGGTACTGTTATTTTCCCTTTTGTATAGATGAAGAAGCTGGAACACAAAGAGGTTAAGTAACTTGCCCAAAGTCACAGAACCAGTAGGTAGGAGAGCTGAGATTTGTATCCCAGCCTTCTACTTTCAGGACTTATGCTCTTGACCAACTTGCTGTGTGAGAAAATATTTAGAGAACTGGAAAAGGAGTACAATTGCAATAGAATTGACTTTGAATATGAATAAAATCAACAATGCTGCTATGAAATACAGTTACATATTAATTTACTTACCTGACACCAACCATTTACATTTAGGAACTATCTATTATTTATTATTTATTTATTTATTTATTTATTTATTTGAGATGAAGTGTTGCTCTGTTGCCCAGGCTGGATTGCAATGGCACAATCTTGGCTCACTGCAACCTCCACCTCCCTGGTTCAAGCGATTCTCCTGCCTCAGCCTCCCAAGTAGCTGGGATTACAGGTGCCGGCCACCACACCTGGCTAATTGTTATATTTGTAGTAGAGACAGGGTTTCACCATGTTGGCCAGGCTGGTCTTGAACTCCTGACCTCAGGTGATGCACCTGCCTCGCCCTCCCAAAATGCTGGGATTACAGGAGTGAGCCACCACTCCTGGCCTTACATTTACAAACTTTATAAAGCATATGTATTCAATATAAGAGGACCTGGCCTCAGAGCTACCTTCCAGGAAATTTTCTAATTTCCCCTCAGGCATCAGTAGTGGCCCAGCCAGCAGTGCTGCCCAGGTGGTACGCACTTACTTTGCCCAGACTGGAACTTGTATGTGTGACCTGGTCACCAGTTGCCATTTCTCCCTTCCAGGTGCTCTTTGAGCTGCTACCTCACCTATGCACCCCTTGCACAGGGGCACCCAGATGCCCTGAAGAGCTCCAGGAATCATATATATAGACTGGTCTTAAGGTCCCAGTTCTAGGAAGACAGTCTGGCAAGCATTTTTCTCCCAAGAGCCTTCATGGTATTTCTCTCATGAAATTGCACAAGATTGGTACTAACTTGCTGGTTTAGGGTGGCTCTCACTCATATCAGACACAGGACAAGTAGCTCTGAGCTACCAATGGTCCACCACTGGACTGTGCCACTTCCAGTCTACAGCACCTCAGGGTGGCAGGACTGGCAGCAGGTGTTTGTTACTCTGTGTGTCACTCTGCTGGTATCCAGTGTGACCCCCTGTTGAAGCCTCCAAAGGCCTATGTGTCAATGGTACTCAAAGAGAAGCCTTGCCTGTGTCCTTGAGGGCTTTTGAAACCATTACTCCACAACACCATCCAGGTCTGCCCTTGCCTTTGATTGATGTGGTGACATTGTGCTCTTCCAGGTCAATCTAAAGCTATGTGGAATGAGAGGCAGCCATTCCTTGTGTAAATTGGACTGCTCTTCTGGCTCAGCCCATGGGCCCTTCATCTACCTTCCACTCTCCTCCCTGCTGGCATCAGAGTGTGCACAGCACGGGCTTAGTCAACATTGAAAGATACTGCATTCTAGGGATGTGGCAATGATGGCCTAAAGAGTTCAAGAAAAGACATAGCTGTTTGATGTGCTGTTCTACCTTTGCACTAAAAAATTATGGGTAGTAAATTTAACATGATCAGAAAATGGCTTATTCAGATTTTCCCACATACTCTAAGTAGGACTTGCATTTCTGATCATCATGAAAAAAGCACAATTACAACATCAGAAAGAGCCAGGGCAGCAGGACGCATGATGCAGTGTTAATATGTAACAATGTCAACAGCATTATGTAAATGATGTTAAGGAACTGCAGGGACAAGAAGATCTGTATTGCTTCAGTACAGTTTCCTGGTTTACTGAAAGTCTCTTTTTTTAAAATCATGAATGGATATTGAATTCTTCTTAATTCATGATAGACGCTGGTACATGTTACCCATGGAAGAATGCCCATCTCAATTTAGCACTTGACATTATTACCTTCTAAATATTTTTAATATCTCTCATCAAGGGCATTAGCCAACAGAGGAATTAGTTTTATTCATTAATTACACAAAAATGAATCTCTGGGAATTTCATTTGTCAGAGAATAATCTCATCTACTTTCCTTTATTAAAAGAAGTAGAAGTCATAGCTGGATTTATATTCCCAAAAGTGTGAAATTGAATCCCAAATTCCAAATATGTTTCTTAATCTGAAATTTTATGAGAATAAACTAGACTTTTTCAGTTAATCTTCCTCAAACACTATTGATAGTGTGAATTGAGAGATCCAAATAGAAGTTATTTAACTGGAGTGCAATATAATACTAAAAGTGAAATAACATCTTCTATTTATAAAAACACTGTGCAACAATCCTCTTCAAAGGAAACTATCAATTTTTGAAGAGCTTCATTCTGTTATGAACCTGAAATCAAATCAAATTAAATTAAATATGAAAGCCAATTAGAGGATTTAACGCTGAATTAAGGTGCCCTGTACCTCACAATGTGAAATATAAAACCTGACACTTAATGTTTTTGCAGAAGTTAAGGCACCCATTTTCTGATTCCAAATTAAAAAGAAACATGAAAGAAAATAATTAATAATTTATTAACTGTGTCTGTTTTCAATTTACATTTCCTCATGTACATGGTAAAATATAATCCCCATTCACATAACTGTGTTTATGATGTTATCTGTTTACACCATATTTCAGTAGAAACAAAGAAAGCTTGATTGCTTTTCTGCAATTGATTTTCTGTACACCTGCCCTGCTTCACTAATTTATCTGCACACCTGCCCTGCTTCACTAATTTATCTGCTTGGTCTGTAGATGTGCTTGAGTCCAAGACTCATACAGTAAGTATCCAACAAATGGTGGTTGAATTGAATGCATTGCAAACACTCTTGATGCTATGGTTTCTTCGTTGAATTTTCTTCTGACTTCTATGATACCTCAATCCACAAACAGAGCAATAGCAAAAAAAAAAAATGATGCACAAAGGAAACAATAAAGGAAACAGAAATGCAAATGTTGTGGCAGAACAATAAAATAATATTGGATCCAGAGATAGCACTCAAAATATTCAGAATGCTAATTCTCAGAAGGCTAATAAAAATGTTATCAATTGATCCACAAAGAATAAGCAAATAAAAATACCCAAAAATCTATTGAAAGGCCTAGTATTTCTCAAGTATTTTTTTAATTAGTCTACTCTAATCATGGCCTAATGTAGAAGAGCACAGATAAATTCATTTTCACCATCGTCCTTCTCCTGTGATTAAAACACCCAAATGGCACTTTTGCAATTAAAAAAAAATCCTATTGGAAGCTTCTCATTTTTCACATTTTAATGTAAGGGCTGGCATATTTCTGTGGGGGGAAATCTTCACTTCTTAAAAACTTATTTTTGCCTTGCCACAATTTACTAATTTTCTCCTATTGTGTATACACTCTGCCTCAAGTCCTCTTCTGAAAAAAGTAGGATATAAATATACACATTCCTTCCTAAGATTCTTCAGGTAAGAGAAAGCACATGCTATACCAGGCCACTTAAATAACACAGTCTTATGTAATCAATTCTTGTAAGGTTTTATTTTTGTAAATATATGTCTAATGGAAAATTTTAAATCATCTCCTGATTTTTACTTTGGCACATAGAAAACATAAAGCTATTATCTAGCCTGGGCTTAATAAAGAAGCACAAGCTAAAAAACTAATTTAAGAGACCATAGAAATAAAATCTGCTGCTCAAATCTAGTATTTGTCCAAAAGTTAAATGGATGCATCAAATGTTTTTCAAAACCAAATCCCCAACAAACAGCTAATAAAGAGCCACAAGTGGCAGAAAACATCCCCCAGAGAGAAAGGAATGGAAAATGCATTTCCTCCTCAGAGAGGAATGAAAAAAAAAAAAGGATTATATGATAGAATGGAAAACATGCACATGAATTCAATCATTCATTTAGCAAATATGATGGAGTAACTATGTATGTCAGTCTCTGTTCAAGGTGTACAAGTGATCACATCAGTCCAAGTCTTTGTCCTCACAGAGTCCACATGCTGGTGAATGAGACATTAATAGACAACCAAAAAAATAAGTAAATATACAAGTCTGCATATGTCTGTAAAGAAAATGATGGAGGGTAAGGAGATAAAGTCATTGAGAGGAGGGTGCTATTTCAGGCAGGGTAGTCCAGGAAGGCTCTATATAAGAAGGGAATATTGGAGCAGAGACCTGAAAGAAGTGAAAAAGGTATAGTATGCACAGATCTGAAGGAAAATCATTCCCAGAACAGAGAGTAGCAAGAGCAAAGGCTCTGAGGCATGAGAGAGCTTGGAGTGTCCCAGTGTGAGTCCAGCAGAATGAACAAGGTAGAGAGAAGCTGGAGAGGAGGGCCAGGGACATCATAGGAGTTACAGCATGCAGGGCTATGGCAGTTTTTTTTGTTTTGTTTTGTTTCGTTTTTTTAATGGCCACAAATTCTTTGACACTCCTGCCATCGAGAAGTGAGGACTAAGTTCCCTCCCCTTGGATCTGGCAGGCTTTTGACTGCCTCCATAAATAAAGTACTGTGGAAGTGACACTAGATGCCTTCTGAGGCGAGGTCATAAAAAGCCCATGAAGCTTCCTCCTGATTTCTTGGGTGCTCACTCTGAGGGAAGCCAGATGCCATATAAGTTTAACTGTCTTAAGACTGTCATGTTGTAGGTGCTCCAGTCAAGTGTCTCAGCTGAACCCAACCTTCCAGCCACCCTGCCAAGGAGCCAGATGTGAGTAGAATTATCTTGGACCTGGCCAGGTGTGGTGGCTCACGCCTGTAATCCCAGCACTTTGGGAGACCGAGGTGGGGATCACTTGAGGTCAGGAGATCGAGACCACCCTGGCCAACATAGTGAAATCCTGTCTCTACTAAAAAATATAAAAATTAGCCAGGCATGGTGGCATGTGTCTGTAGTCACAGCTACTCAGGAGGTTGAGGTAGGGGAATTGCTTGAACCTGGGAGATGGAGGTTGGAGTGAGCCAAGATCATGCCATTGCACTCCAGCCTGGGTGACAGAGCAAGACTCCATCTCAAAAAAAAAAAAAAATTATCTTGGACCCTCCAGATTAGCCAGCTGAGTTCCCCTCAGTAACCTCAACTGACTCCATCATGAACAGAAGAAACAACTAGCCAATATCTGCCTGAGTTTCTAAAAAGTGTTATTTTAAGCCACTAAGTTTTGGAGTGATTTATTACACAGTAATAGTAACTGGAATTGACACTCTTGGGCCACACTAAGAACTTACTCATGTAACCAAATAGCACCTGTACCCCCAATAACTTATGGAAAAATAAAAATAATAAAATAAAAAGGGAAAAAATTGTTAAAATGGCAAATTTTATGTTATGTCTATTTACCATGACTTTTTTAAAAGTCAAGAAATGGAAGAGAACCCACAAATGAGACTAAGAGGGAGCAGTCTGAGAGACAGGACAAAATCCAGAAGAGTGTGTGGACCCTTGAAAGAATTGAGAAGGTAAAAATGACCACGTTTGCAAATGCTGCTAAAACCCTGGGAGAGAGCTGAGAACTGACCACTGGGTTCAGCAATGTGGAGGGTATGGGATCCATAAGAGCAGTTTCAGTGGCATGGTGGAATGAGTTAAAGAGAGAATGTGAATTGAGGACGCAGAGACAATGAGAGACTAAACTTTCAGGAAGTTTTGCTGTGAGGAGTAATAGATAAGTGGGGTAGAAGGGGGACGGTAGCTCCAGGGAGGGCTTTTGGTAATGTGCCTGGTCACCACTGGGAAGTAAATCTCAGTTGAATCAGGAGATGTGATTTTATATCTAATCAGGACCTAATTTCCATAACAAAAGGCTGAGCAATGCACACTAAAAATCAGACAAAACACGTAAGTAACTAGTAAGAATTGTGGATTAATCCTTCCAGTTAGTGACAGGATTCAACCTCTTCGCAAGCTATTAGCCTATTCCCACATTCCATAGTTAAACAGATACATGGAAAATTTGGAAATGACTCAAGGAAAATCACAAATATGAGGGGCTTTGATGAACAGGAAAAGCAAAAGGAAAAAGAAAGAAGGGGAAATTATGGAAATATTTAATTATTCTTCTCATGCAACTATAGGGCTTTTTCACAGAGAATTTATGAATATTATTTGCCATATACTCAGAGGAATAATAAAACTTTAGTAAACTGACATAAGCAACAGGATAGGCATTGAGAAAGGCAAAACAGAACATATTACATGTTACATATTCCAGCATGAAATTTGAAACATTGGAATGAGTTTCTGGTTACAAAATTTCTTTGCTCTTGCTTAAAAAAACAGACAAGTTCTTTTTAACATTGTTCTGGAATTTCTGGCCAATAAAGAAGACATTAAACCAAAACAAGAAGTATGACTATTGGCAGGCAAAGGACATAATTTGTATTATTTGCAGATATTAAGATGCACACATAAGGAAAGAAAATCAATAAGAAAACTATTAGAATTAATAAACACATTCAAAAAAGTGGCTGAGTGCAGGGTAATTATCAAGAAATCAATAGTTTAGGTAATAAGCAGCTAGAAATATAATGAAGATACAATAGCACACCCTAAAAATAGCCTAGAAATAGCTTATAATAAGAAATGTTTGGGATACATACATAAATGTGTGTGTGTGTGTGTGTGTGTGTGTGTGTGTGTGTGTAGTATAGATACAGATTTCTGTATTAAGAGAATTAAAAGAAGACTTGAATACCATCCTCCTGGTTGGGCAGACTTAATCTTTTCCCAAATGAGGAGTAATGCAATCCCAATCATAATCTCATGGGGATTGATTTTAATTGAATAATATGTTTCTAAAGTTCATCTGAAAGAATAAACAGGCAAAAAACAAACCAAGAAAACTATTGAAGAAAAATGAGAGTGGGCTTGTTCTGCCAGATATTAAAATTATTTATAAATCTCAATTGAAATAATGAGACATTGATAAAATATCCTTATAAAGACAGCAATAAAATTGAAAAAATAATACAGGAACAAATTCTGGAATGCAAAAATATTTACCAAATGATTGAATACGCATAGAAAACAATTGAGAAAGGATGGATTTTTTTCTTAAGGAGTGTAAAATAGAAATTAACATCTATGGAGAAAATCACATTAAATTATCACTATATCACACGCCAAAATAAATTTTTAATAGATTAAAAAATTAAACACAAACAGTCAAGCCATATAAAAGCTAGTCTTCTATATATAAGCATCTGATTTTTTTACTGAAGAAAGGTTTCTGAAGTTTAAAAGCAATATTTAATTTAATTTTTATTAAGGTAAAATATACATATAAAGTGTACCATCTTTATCATTTTTAAGGGTACAGTTCAGTGGTAATAATACATTTATATTCTTTTTAAAAAGTAAATCAACAAAATGACTGTGAAAAATATTTGTAATAACTATGGTAGACTAAAGTTCATATACATAATATATAATGAATTCTTAAAAACTGGTAAGATAATCTTAAGACATCATAGAAAAATAGTCAAAAGACAATCTTAAAAAGAAAAAATGCAAATGGCCAAAAAGTAACCTCATTCATAATCAAAGTAAAATCAAATTAGATAAATGTGATAGAGAGTAATACTAATGACTCCCAATGAATCACACCTCTCTGGGTCCATGCTCCTTTGTAATATGACATTGATCTCTGTTCATGAAGAGGTGCAATCTATTTTCCCACCCCTTGAAGCTGGGATGGCCTTGTGACTTGCTTTGACCAAAAGAATGCGGTGGAAATTACTCTGGAGGTTAGACAGTGCATCTTTCACTCTTATCATTGGAACCTTGAAACTGTGAAGAAGCTCAGTCTCACATGTATTTCAGGATGAGAGACCGTGATGGGGGGAAAAAAGGTGACTCAACTAGCAGTCAGAAGTAACTTCCAGACAGACATGTGAATGAGGTCATCTTGTCCCCTTCAGCCCCAGTTGAGTTGTCAGAGGACTTCAGATGCATAAATGATCTGAGACCAGGAGAAAAACTACCTAGCCCCAGATTACCAGCCCATAGAATCATTAGAAATAATAAATTATCTTTGTCTTAATTTACTAAGCTTTGGAGTGGTTTGTTTTGCAACAATAGATAACTGATACAATAAGTTTTCATTTTACCAAAGAATTAAAGGAAAAAAGAAGAAACTAGTTACTAATTAAGGAATAGTTAGGGAAATTCCATATTGCTGGGAGTGCAAGTGGTAAAAATTCTCTGGAAAATGATGTTGCAATATTAATCCAGATCTTAAATATATTTATATACGTTAACTAGATAATTCTCCTTCTACAGTTTTATCCCATAGAAAATATTAAAAATGTGGACAAGATTTATGTCCAAAGATTTTTTTATCTAAATTCTGTTTAATTCATGGCAAATGTCTGTATGTTCAACAATAGAATACTATGTTTAAAAAAATTAAAGTGTATTTATGTGATGAACTATTATTTCATGGAACTTGTTTCCTGTCATCAGAATTCATGGGTACAGACCTAAATATACTTTATAATCTGTGAGGGTTTGTGATCAGGGGAGGATGGTAGCAAAGATTAAAATGAAATATATACCAAAAACTTAATAGTAATTATCTCTCAGTGTGTTATATGAGTTATTGTTATTTTTTTCTTTAGGTTTCCTTTTATTTCGTAAGTTTTCAATGATAAGAATGCACTCCTTATATTAAAAAGAGTGTATATTACTTTGAAACTGGGACAAGTTTGGAGTTGTCTGAGAAGATTTAAACATGGTCCTATTTTAAAGCGATAACAGTTGGGGGGCACAGTGGTTCATGCCGGTAATCCCAGCACTTTGGGAGGCCAAGGCTGGTGGATCACTTGAGGTCAGGAGTTCAAGACCAGCCTGACCAACATGGTGAAACCCCGTCTCTACTACAAATACAAAAATTAGCTGGGTGTCGTGGCTTACGCCTGTAATCCCAGCTACTCGGGAGGCTGAGGCAGGAGAACCACTTGAACCCAGGAGGCAGAGGTTGCAATGAGCCAAGATCATGCCACTGCACTCCAGCCTGGGTGACAGAGTGAGATTCCGTCCCAAAAAATAATAATAATAATTAAAAAAATAGATAATGAACTAACAAACATTTACTGATCACCTGCTATGTACAAATCACTGTGTTAAATGTTGAGGTGGTC